>NC_000003.12:158857089-159160119 GCF_000001405.40 Homo sapiens | reverse complement strand
AAGAGTTAGTCAAGTAAGAAACTGTCTCTCTTGATAGCTTTATGTCATTTGAGCCATTTGATGAAGACCATGGTATCTCTGTTAGTCAGATTTGCAAAGGAATACCTGAGGATGGGTAATTTATAATGAAAAGAAGTTTATTTGGCTCACAGTTCTGCAGGCTGTATATGAAGCATAGGGTCGGCATCTACTTCTAGTGAGGGCCTCAGGAAGTTTACAATCATGGTGGGAAGGTGGGAAGGTGAGGAGGAGCAGTGTGTCACATAATGAGAGAGAGACAGAAAGAGAGAGAGAGAGTAATATAGAGAGAGGGAAAGTTGTGGGCTCACTCACTCATAACCAAGGGGATGGCACCAAACCATTTACGAGGGATCCACCCTCATGGCCCAAACATCTCCTCTAGGCTCATGGCCAACATTAGAGGTCACATTTCAACATGAAATTTGGAGGGAACAAAACATACAAACCATAGCAGTATCCTTTTCAGGATAATGTTTTTGAAGACAGAAAATAAATTACATGGGTTTACAAAGGAAGCTAATAAGAATGGAATATAGTTATTAAAATACTTTTAAAGCACAACTATGATTATGTAGTACCTGTGCTTATTTATCAACACATAAAATAACTATCTAGCTGTATTGACGATTTTTAAAATTTTCTGTGTGCTTGATGCGCTGGTATTTGAAGCCTTGATCATGGAGAGACTGTACCTCCCAGAGCTAGCTAATTCCTAGAAAGAGCAAATTACCCTCCTACAAACACACCTTTGATATACTTGAATATACTTGATATACTTGACTTGATTGATTACAATCAATTCAGAGCCCACAGCCCCAACCTTCTCCTTTATCAAGCTCTCTCTCACCCAGCCAATATTCTCTCTGTCCTGAATTACCCCATAGCCAGGTACCAGATAAGGAGGGACCACCTCTATAGCCCAGAGTCCACCAAAATCATTCAGACTATCTAATCTTAGCTTACTCAGCACACCCATGCTGCTTCACCTCTTTCTTCCTATTAAAACTACAACAAAGGGGTTTTCCTTTAATGGGCCATGCTCTCCCCTCTTGACCAACCCCAGTGCTTCCCATGTGGCTCTCCTGCCTCCTGACCAATCCCAGTGCTTCCCATGTGGCTCTGTGTGGCCTACTGGGCCTCCAGTTTCTAGAGACCTGTGGGTATGAACCTCTTCCTTCATGAAAATCATGTCTGTGTCTGCTATCTTACCATACCTGATTAAAACAGATTCCAAGTATAAATTTTAGGACACTAGGAGTGGGTCAAATAACTTCACCATTTGACATGATGATGAATGTAAATGATGTTTTAGAATATTTGCAATGACTATAGTGTGACATGGCTACATCCTTCATTTATTTTAGTAACAAAGTCACAGGTACTGCCAATTCTACTCTGGTTTTACTTACAGTTGTTATTGAAGAAAATGTTTCATTTCACATAGAGGTTAGTAAAAACAAAAATGTATTTTTTCCCACCCAAGTTCACCAATCCTTGACTTCAACAGTCCATGAATCCCAGGTTAAAAGCTCCTGCAGACAAATATAGCTGGCATTGTACTAATCATAATGCTGGCATTGTACTAATCATAATGCTGGCAGCTCTCCAAAATTGGGTTCTGAGAATTCCGGAAACCCTTTCAATCAACCACCAGGGAAGGAAGACCAATGACACCACTAAGAAGCTTCACCACCTGAACTCACAAAACTTCTGAGTAATTGTTCTTCATCAGAAGAACTTTCCACTTTCTCAAGGACGTATTGTTCTGCCTCCTACAGGGCTTCCAGCATCATCACTGCAGCTGTCACTGGCCTCTAATACAATGGCTCTGTAAGATACATCAGCCCTGCAGCTTCTAGAACTGCTGCTTGTAAGGGAACATCTCAAAATTAACTTAAAAAGATTTGTAGTTTTTCTACAAAACAGTACCTTTAAAACATTTTATAACAGAAAAACTGGTTTAAAAGAAAATTGCACATATAAATATAAGGCAATTTATATTAAAATGACAAATAAATATTCTCTTTGACCTAGTAATTCTACTTCTGAAAATTTATATACACACCTACTTGCACAGGTGCACAAAAAATATTCATTGTTGCATTGTTTGTGATAGAAAAGGATTGGAAACAGCCCAAATGTCTCTCAGTAGGGAATTGGTTAAATAAACTGCTGCCCAACCATATGGGAATATTATTTGGATCTACACAAAGAATAAGGAAGCTCCCTCTGCACTGAAGTGTTTTTAAGATATGTTATATGAGAAAATAACATGCACAATAATGTAGGCGTAGTATGCAACCCCATGTGTAAATAAGAGGAAATGAATATATGTTTGTATGTGCATAAAGTGGAAGGATATATGAGAAATTATTCTAATAATAGTGGTTATTTGTATGCTGGGCCATGAGAATCATGTAGATGTTAGACAAGGGCAGAAGGGAAATTGTTCACTTTTACCTTCACACATTCCTATATCTGTATCTATACCTATAGGTATATATTAAACTGAGACCATATAAATGTAACATCTATTCAAAACATTTTTTAAAAAAGTTTTACCTTAGACCTAATTGTAGGCTACAATGAGTTCACTACTCATCATATAAATGTTTGCTTATCCATCAACATTGCCTAAGGCTTCCACTGACCAGAAACATTGTCAAATGTTTGTTTTTGTTAAGAAGATAAAGACAATCATGAGAAAAAATGATATGGAGGGAAGAGGCGAGAAAAGAAAAGGGAGCCACTTATAAATACATTTATTTTAGCAGACTGACCGCAAGTTGAAAAGTGATTCTGGTCAATTGGCCATACCATAGTTCGTTGCAATTACTTGTGAGGAGATGTCCACAGATCAAAGATGTGTGATGAATGCCAAAGCCTGAGCCAGCTTCCCTGGACAACAACCCTTCTCCCTTATTTTTTCTTCTCAGTCTCCTCCTCCTCTCCACAACTATCCAGCCATTGTGTGCTTGGGAAATGCAAATTAATTTCAGTATTAGACTAAGAAAAACACAATTAAGAAGGTAAATCTGCCAGTGGAAAGATCAGGCCACACAACACAGACTCAAATATAACTGACTTTTGGATTATCTACAGCTTTGAAATGCCAGGTCCATTGGTAAAAACAGCCAGGTGTAGGTTATAAGGACTTAAAAAGTTGAAAATAGTCTAGTAAGCCCCCTGGCTGGCCTCCTTCTCATAGCTGAATTGGAAGATGAATCTTTATATGTTATTAATCATTGGATAGGCTCAAATATCTTTAAGGCCTTTTTATTGATTGGGGCACTGGTTTTTGCATGTTTATTTTAGTACTAGAACCCTTCTTCTAAAGAAAATTTTATGCATGAACTTAAGGGTATGCAAAAGTGGAACACCTGGAGCTCTGTCTCTTTACACCTCTTCTACCTGCACTCCTTCCCCAAGATATGACCAAAGTCATCTCCAGAAATGCCTTAGTGTTGAAAGAAGCTTTTTGGAAAACACCCATCAGGTTCAATCTGCTTAGGCTCGCATTCAAGGCTTTCTAGAATCAGAATCTCATCTGCTCATTTCACCAACCTTCTGACCCATTCTCTTCTACAGGAACACTCCACTACAGCAAAACTTGTCTCTTTATTGCTCTTGGAACGTGCCATACAGCCTCTTCTTTCTATTCTGCTTATTCTGCACCCAGAAGGCCCATGTGCCTCCCCTCTACTCCTCAGGAGTCATACATGGCCTTCTAAACCTAGCACAGGGCCCCCATCAATGCTCACCTCCTTCAGGAAGTCTTCCTAGTTATCTCTTGCTTCTTCACACTGTATTTTATTCACCTCTTTCTAAACATATTCAATCTTCCCAGTAAAATTAGAAACTCCTCCAGAACAGGATCTAGTTTTGTCTTAGATTTCTCTTGTCTCCAAGATCTAGCATAGCACATAGCAGGGCTTAAGAAATATTTGATGAAAACATGTAGGGATTAGATAAAATTGGGAGGCTATGTAAAATGCATACAGAGTGCTAAACGTGTATATATTTAGAAGTCAGATGGCACGTGTTTAGTGTCTCTGCCATTCCTTTCAGGTATATATGTTATAACTACAGTTCAATTTTCAAAATAGGTTGGTTAATTTTAACACTGGCAAGAAAAGCCAAATTTCACTACCTCAGAAATGATCTACAACCACTTAATAAATGTACACTGAGCGCCCATCTGTTGTCTGCTATGTCATTGGTTTGCTACATAACATGGTAATATGCATTATGTTTAAAAGCCACAAGTCCAGGATTGCTTTATTTTCCAAAAAATATTACCTTTTTTTCTAGAATTTCAAGTGATTTGTATGTACATTTTTAATCCCTATGACATTTAGTTTCTACAATCCTTTAAAAAGGCTAATTGAAATTGGCATACTAAAATCATCCTGAGTGACTGGAAATTCATCATTGGCATTTATCTTCTCATGTCAGAAGTTGAAGTAAAAATTACTTTGTTTAAAGTTTTCCTGTAATCAAATATATTTTTGTTTGATATTATAAAAGACTAGATAATGACTTAATATTTTAGAAGCATATTGTATAGTCTTCTGTAAAGCTCTTAAGGTTACACAAGTGGAATCCATGTTAGCTAACTGTTAGGCAAAAGTAAATGACTGAGGCCAGGCATGGTGGCTCACGCCTGTAATCCCAACATTTTGGGAGGCTGAGGCAAGTGGATTACTTGAGGTCAGGAGTTTGAGACCAGCCTGGCCAACATGGTGAAACCCCATCTCTACCAAAAATACAACAGTTAGTCAGGTGTGATGGCGTGTGCCTGTAGTCCCAGCTACTCAGGAGACTGAGGCAGGAGAATCTCTTGAACCCAAGAGGTGGAGGTTGCAATGAGCTGAGATCATGCCACTGCACTCCAGCCTTGGTGACAGAGCAAAACTCTGTCTCAAATAAATAAATAAATAAATAACTGGTTGCTGCCCTTCACTAAAGATCGGCCAGAAACCTTATTTAACAAAGATCACCAAAGAAAGGGGAGCCCGTGTTCAGTGTAGGCAATTTCTGCTTCATTTCATACCAGGGTCTCAGTCTCCCTGGGCCTGGAAGAAAGATAGAAATGGGGATGGCGAAGGATGGAGAGGATGAAAGCGGGGGTGGGAAATACAAATGTGAAGGAGAAAGAATAAGATGGAAGACAGGGAGTAAAGGGGAGGGAGAGGAAGGAGAGGCAGGAACAAGAGAAGGAAAAGCTGTGAGGAAATCAGAAAAGTAGTCGATGTATTAGAAGACAGTAGTGTTGAGCACGGCCATTGGCTACAGGGGTGACACCAGACATTGTGACTGCAGTGCTCAATAACATTGATCAGAGACAGCCTGAATTCACAGTAACCTCAGAGAGATTCCAACCAAAGAGCTTTGCTTGGAGCTCCCAGAGGCAGCAGGCTTGAAAGGACTTCTTTGAGTTTGAAAAGGCTTTGCTTGAAGAAGTGAGTAGACCAAACCTCTAGACCAGAGGTAGAGGAAACCCAGAGAAGCCAAGGGTGGGCATGAGGAGAAGGCCCCCTTGTAGAGGTGCCTGCCAAGTTCAAAGGCCTCACATAGTATTCGAGAAGTCTCTTCATCCAAAAAAAAGGCAGAGCTGATACAAAGTTGGTGAATCAAAGTGATTACAATTAAGAATCTTAAAAAAAGATTCATAAATAATTTAAATATTTTATTCTAAATAAAAACTTATCAATGTGCATTCATCCTCTCATCTCTTGATGATAAATCAAGGCCTCTCATTGTGTTTGGGTCCATGGATTGGGCCTTCATCATTCTGTGTCCATGCCTACGGTGCCACAGTGCTGATTTCCAATTTGGATTTCTTTAAAGTGGAGCAAAAACTAATGTAAAAAAAATTATGAAGCAATCTAAGTGTGAAATCTTTCTAATGATTTTTATCATCCCCTCAGTGTGCACAATTGTTTTGCCCACATAAAACTTGACAATTTGGGGGTTTAGATTTTTTGGGAACTTTTTAAAGGAACTTTAAGGTCTTTCCAGAGGATTTTTAATAGTTGGGCTTCCTAGTGGCAAACAACAGGATTTATTATGGCTAATTCATTAAGAAAAGGAATTTATTAAGAATGATTTGAGACTTACAGAATTTGGGGAGGAAGATGTGGAAGCAGGCTCAGACTAAGCTTCCAAGAGTTATACCATGGAACCAGTCTTCTGTGGGAACTGACGCCATAGCCAACTCTACAACCACAGACAGCTCCGCAGTGACAGCACTAGGATTTTCTCTGCTACCACCTAGTTAGCAAAACAGGTATACTCAGCCCCATATACATTAGTTACAGGGGCATCTGATTGGTAGAACCTATGTCACAAAGGAAATGGAAACTTGAGACAGAGAAGAAATTTAAAAGATCTTGGGTAGTCACAAAGGACAGATGCCCACTATAGCTTTTCACTTAATCTTCATGAAAATCAGCAGTTGGCCTTTCACATTTATTCTTCATTAGTTGATGGAATATTCAGTTTACATAATTCCAAAAGTAAATACAACTAGAATACAAGGAACATTGGTCATTGCCGTATCTCTAATATCTAAAGCAATGTCTAATAAAGTATGAAAATAATACTTGTTGAATGAAGAAATGAACGGGAATTAATAGCTATGATAACCAGCCCTCTTGACAAGCACACAACTCCACTGGTTGTAGAAGACATTCATAGATGCAATAACTCAGAGCCTCCATTGTGCTGTGGGTATCCATTAGAATATTGTATAGAGGAAACAGAGGGTTTCCGTTATTTGGGGGAGTTAAGGGAAAGTTGGCTAACAGAGCTCCTACAGGAAAGTTTCTTAATCTGCCATTAAAGGATGCATTGTAAGGATGTATGGTAAAATTTTGATTTCATTTGTTCCTTAAAGTTTATGTATTAATATAATTCTACATAATTTTTATAATTCCGTCAGTATGCCAAATATTATCTTAAAAAATAAAAATTAAGAAAAGTTTAATGTTTCCAGATTTAAACTGTCCTAAATATATTATATACTTCTCTGACCCTTAAACATTATTTAAGCTTTCCTGAAATGACTCAGGATTATCCTATGACTTATTAAGGAACTCAAAATAATTTTTTCAGTTATGAAGTATGAGTGACATTTGCCTTTGTGCAAAATGGCCCTGACAGCTCTCCAGAGGTGGGTCACTTATGGCGTACTACCTTATCTCATCTTTTTGCAGATTCTTTGCTACTTAGGTAGGAGAAGCAAAATAGATTTTATTGAAAACTGCATATCCTGTTTCTGAGGAAATTATTAATTCACTGAATCTATTGTTACATTTATCAGATTATTTTGTAATATATTTTTCTCTCTCCCTTACTAGAATGTGAGTTAGAGATAGGAGCAAAGATAATGTCTAATTTTTCTGTGTGGCCACCCCACCAAGTTTAACACAATAACCTAGGCATAGTAAGTACTCAATGATTGTTCACAGAATTAATTCTCAAAAAATACAGCAAAGCAAGGGCTACCCACTTGTTCCAGGTGACAAAAGTAAGCTGCAGAGAGGCAAAAATCACACATTTAGTGAGTGGCTGAGCTAGTATTTAACCCCAGGTCTTTAGTCTGACTTTATTAACCCATGGTCTCTCCTAGTTCAGACACATGGTAACGTACATTGGAGGGTCCTGAGGAGCCACATACCACCTCCCTCATGCCATGAAAGGGCCCCAGAGAACATGATAGTGGATGCTGGGATCTCAGAGAAGGGAAACTATGGCCTTATGTAGCCAGAATTAACAGCCTTTTTCAGCTCAATATTTACTTCCAAGCACAAAAGAAACTCCCCCTGATGCCACAGTGACCTGATTTCACAGCCATCATTACGTTACGGAACAGCTCTCAGGAACAGTTCTTCACTAGCTTCTACCATGGGGACCTACTTGATGGCCATTTTCCCCCAATCAGATGGTGGGTCCTGGAGGCGGCAATCATTGCTGTGCCCACCTCACCTCCCTCACCACTGCCCCATCCAGTAGAGTGCTTTGTAACATTCGGAATTCACCAAATCGAGCATGGATCACAAACCTAGAAATTAGGTATCTGGCTGGGAAGGGTAGTGGGAACAACCTTGGGTCACAGAATTGAATCTGATATTTAGAAGGAGTCTTAAAAATAATCTAGTCTGAGCTGGGTGTGATGGCTCACGCCTGTAATCCCAGCACTTTGGGAGGCCAAGGTGGGCGGATCACGAGGTTGGGAGATTGAGACCATCTGGCTAACACAGTGAAACCCCGTCTCTACTAAAAATACAAAAAATTAGGCAAACGTGGTGGCAGGCACCTGTAGTCCCAGCTGCTCAGGAGGCTGAGGCAGGAGAAAGGTGTGAACCTGGGAGGTGGAGCTTGCAGTGAACCAATATAGCGCCACTGCACTCCAGCCTGGGCGACAGAGCGAGACTCCGTCTCAAAAAAAATCTAGTCTGACTCTCCTTAAATTTTGTTTTTTTGTTTTTGTTTTGTTTTTTGGGAAGGAAACTGAGACCAGTGCAGGTAAGTAACTTGACTGAGCTCTCCTAGGGCCACAGCCACAGGAGGGGCAGCTCCACAGAGGACAGGCTGGGGAGACAGCAGGCCAGAGCAGCAGGTGGAAGGTTGGAAAGAAAGACAGGCTGTCCAGCATGCTGAAGAACTCAGTTGGAGAGAACAGCAGTGCTGAGGACAGAGCCGAGCCAGTCAGCCAAACTGGAAGACACAGGCCAAATAGGCTGGATTCTAGATGCTCTGGCAGGAAGTGCTGGCCTCCGAAGCACAGGGCCGGCTGGCATTCAGGGAGGGAACACACAAGGAGGGTGTGGGCTGACAGAGCACAGTGGCTCCCCACGCCACCAGGCTAAGATTATTGTTTCCAGGAAATGGCTCTCTACCCATTGCCTTGGAGTTGGGAAGCTTTCTGGTGGAAGAGATGTTCTGCTCCTTCCAAAGAGCCGGGCTCTGGGAACATCTGCCACCCAATCCAGTGTGCTGCAAGGAAGGTGGAAGGTGACACAGGGGCTAAAAGTTTGACATTGATTCTATCCCCACTACCTTCCCACCTGCATTCCCACACAACTCCCAACATTGGCTACCTCCACCTGAAAAGGCCTGACAGAGCAGCACGCAGGACCAGGGGATGGCACGGGCTGCAATATTTATCCATTCATGGAAAATCAAAGCACCAGGGTAGTCATTCAGAAACATGGATATGACGCTCTGAACCATGAGAGCTGAGTAGGCAGATGAAGGTGCCTCAATGATTGGCAGAATGTGCTTATGAGGAAGCACTGGAAATCAAAACTCAGGATGGGGCAGTCTAACAGAGGCACTCAATCATTCTACACTTGCTACTTCAACAAATGTTCACTGAATAGTTACTGTGTGCTGAGTACTACATTAGGACACAAAGGGTACAGAAATGGACAAGCAGTTTCTTACCCTCAACCTACAGAAGCACAGCCCCCAGAATATGTGTGTGTGTGTGTGTGTGTGTGTGTGTGTGTTGGGGACAATGCAACATATGCTATTGGTGCCTGATACACACCCTCCGTGGCTCTCACTGCTCCAGTTTATGCCTGTGCATCCTACTGAGCCCATCTGCAATTCTCCACCAGTCTTCTTTTCACAGCATAGCACAGGCCAGACTCACAGGGATTCATTCAGTACTTCCAGGAGCAGCCCTCAGCCCTCAGCCAATGGCAAATGGGAACCGGAAGACATACTTCAGCTTGCTCCTCCCTGGATGGCCTAACTCTACACTGTCACCCAGAGCTCCCCTGCAGGGTGAGCTTCAGTTGCTCACAGTGGCAACTGCTTATGATACAATATACTTTCTATCGGTTTCCATCCCTTCCCTCTCTCACTTACCCACTACCCTATCAGTATTTCCTGGAATCACTTTCCAAGAGACTACTTGCATTCAAATCCCTGTTCTGGGTTGGTTTCTGGGGAAACCCTCCAACCCAGGCAATCAACAACCATCTTGGGATTAGGGGAGATGAGCACTAATCTAAGTTCAAAGGATAAAGAAGTAGATAAAAGCAGGGAAAATAGGGTGTTGGTGGGTGGGAAGTGCTAGGCATTTTAGGCAAAAGAGACAGTGCAAAGAAGAGACAAAGAATCTTCCTGGTGGATGGGAGAACTTAAAGGACTTTGGCATACTGGCAGGTAAAGTGAATGAAGGAGGCAGGGAGAGATGAGTCAGGGGAGAGATGGAGGGAACACACCTCCCTGCCCTTGGAAGCCTCCCTAAAGAGCCTTGTTTTTCTCCTGAAGGCTGAGAACAGATTCAATGCTTGGTGTCAAATGGGATATAAGAACAATAGGCTTAGCCGAGTAAATCCTTCAAATCCAATTTACTTGTAGTTTAGATTACAGTGAATGAGAATAAATGTTAACTGAGTCTCCTAAACAATGCTTACACCAGGAGACTATGCTGAGATTTTCAAAAGCTGCTTCAAAATGAAGGCTTTCCCAGGAATATCATATTCCCATTATATTTCTCCATTCTCTTCTCTTTTACCTGCAGAAATCTTAGCAGTAGCCCCCAAACAGCCTCTTAATGTTTAACGTTTTGCTAATACAACCCCACTCAGAACTACCAAAGAGCAATTTGGAACAGGAAAAAAAAGCTCTATTTTTAAAAGGCCAGCAAAAAAGACACTGCCTGTGAAACTGTACGATAGAAGCTGTTCACATCTAATATCTGAAAGAGCTACCGTTCATATGAATAATTCAAAAACAGCTCCAGACAAATGATCCTGGGATTATATGGAAATAGAAAAAACCTCCGGAGTCTGCCGTTCCTTTTATTAAAGCCTGGTTCACATTGAACACTGTTTTCTCTGGGGTTATTTCTACTACAAATGAGCAGTCAATAAAGCAGAATCTGTCCAGGATTGTGCCCGTGTGAGCACCGGAAGAAAAGTCATTTTTATCTACTATTCATTTTTACCTTGTAAATTATTAATTAATGTAGATTGGATAAAAATTAAAAGTAAGCAAATTAGTCATTTGTTTATTTTAATTATTTAGTGGGCTCACAAACCACTAAATAAACTAAATATTTCTGCTTGCTGCACAGATCTGACACAATTAAAAGGTGACAGAGGTGCCATCCATAGTGACCCAGATCATACTGTTGATGTTATGCTTCATCCTGACTTTCTTAATTATGGTATTGTTGCCAAAATGTGTCAGAGGCACCTGAAGGAGTGGATGCGGCACATTTGAATTTTCCTGAAAGCTGAAATTTTATATAACCTTTGACCTTATCCATCTTAAATGAAAGCACTTGTTAAAAAAAATCCATCTTTTACAATCACATTTGGCTGTCAATGTGTTAATAAAACCATTAGGCAGAGGTGATTTTGCAATTTCAAAAGGAATGACTTTGATGGCAAGGGAATCTTTGATGAAAAATGTCACTGCCATTAGGAAAAGATGGTACCTATAAGAGGTAAATAGGACTTCTCAGTTTCAATGTATTTAAGTTAATGATCACTTTGTACTAGAAAGATGTCAGTATGTGGGAGCTATCAGATAAAATGAGCCTGGATATTTAAGCATATATCTTACAGATTCTTTCGAGAATATCCCAAATGAAGTTTTTACTTTGTGAATAAAATAAACATATTGAGAACTGACAACAGGAAATCCTGTCAGGGATATTCACTTACTACTCATGCCAATGAACAAGTTTGCTTACTTAATACATCATCTTTCAAAATAGTTCACATAAGATAATTAAGTGGGGAAATTAGGACAAAGGGAAAATAGGGCAGAAAACAAAAACAGACATAGGAAGGAGGCTGGAAGATCTGTATAAGCCTTCAAATTTGGCTGTGAGATTCCTAGCAGCCAAAATTAAAGAGGAAAACACGATTAGTTAAAGAGACACAGAATCCATAGGAAACAAAAACATTAAGTGAGGAATAAAGTACATATATCAGTACAGCCAGGCAATCTACTTTCCTAATGTAAGGTGCTATCCAGTTTGAGTTCAACAATGGACATACTAAAATGTGTAGCTTATTGGGTTCCACCCCTAGAGATTCTGATTCAGCAGTTCTGGGGTGGGGCCCAAGGATTTGCATTTTGCACATATGCCTAGGCGCTGTTGATGCTGCTGGTCTGGGGACCACACATTGAGAACTACTTTTATAAATGAATATCTTAGCAGAAAGATGTATAAACAAATTCACGATTCCACGATTCTCTTGCTGTAGTTAGTATCCTTGAAAACTTTGTCATTCCTCTTTTAGTAAGTTTCAAAGAGAGATTCAGATGTAAAATTATGTAGACAAGATAACCATGAATTATGTTGACAAGATGACCATACAGAGTTCATATATTTGTTATCCTGGAATAAACTGAGATGATTGATAAAAAAGTTCGGTAACAGTAATTGCTTTGTAATATTAATTATTTTGTTACTTCCATCTTCTTAATTCCCCTCCCCCAACCACACCTTCTTCAGAAAGAAAGAAAATTGTTGGTCTCACTGAGATTTGCTTAAGGTCACAATCAGTTCGCAGGATGTTTCAGGATCTAGGTCAAGCTCAGTCTGCTATTGAGAGTATAAAGTTCTGAGAAAGAAGACAGATATCCATGGAAGTTCATATTTATTCTTCAGAGGTCTCATATCTTCTGTCTTAATCTGAAAACGTAACCTATTATTCTGTTTCATGATAGAAGTTATGAGGAAGAGGAGAAGCAAAGGCTGTGATTGAAAAGGGAAGTGCTCAGCATCAGCTGGTCACATTTCTTACGACCTGCTGAAAATGATAGTCTTTATGCCTGAATGCGTATTTTAATCTCAGCCTGAATTCCAGGAACAAATAAATAAATCATTTCCCTTTGCACTAAACAAATGCTTCTGTCTATTCTCCCATCCTTAAATTAAAGGAGCTCAAATGGAACCTCATTTTGATATGAAAGCATGACTTTAGTAAAAATTAGCATAAATTCTACATTGGCATATTAAAAGGAAATTACACAAATGTGAAAAATGAATAGAATGTTCTCAAGGCTAAATCCTGGCAGACAATGAGCAGTGTGACTTAATTCATAGATGCTGAAAACCTCTGTGTAAAAAACAGGGATATAGCCGTTGTTCATTTATTTTAATAACTGACATAGATTTTAATTATTTATAATTCTTCAAAGTGTATTTTTAATAGTAATGAAGTCTTAGGAAGCTGAGCCCACCTGACAGCCCTTGACTATTTAATCTTGGCTGAAATATGTGATGGAATCACAAAGTTCTCATCAGTGAGGAGATACAGCTGATGAATTAATAAAGTGAGAATTATCATATTTCCTTTATTCTGAAGCTTTTATTTACATATTTGAAAATATATGTTAAATTATTACGGTCCTTTCCAATTCTAATATTGTGGTCTTATGGAATGTTTCAGCTCATAAGTTGTTTTGCCCTGACAGATGGGAAATCTAAGGTTCCTGGAAGTTAAATGACTTGTCTGAAGTTAAACACAGTGTCAAGGCCAGGCTTGAGACATGAACACACCCTTGATTCTTGCCCCTCACCATCTATGCAACCAATCCCGTGTAAAGACAGGGTTAAAAGAAGCTTGCATCGTGAAGTGAAGGAATGGAATACCCCTCTCCTTCTTCTTTTATGTGGCTGAAATCTAAAGTAAGCTTCAAAGGGGCACAGGAGGCAAGAAAGGCCTAGAAAACAGTGCCTGTGACTGCACTCCACTTGGTTTCCATTCTGTTGTATTTACACTGCCTCCTTTTTTTTTACTTGGATTTAGAGCAGCTCCAAATGTTTATTTCCAAAGCCTTCTTACCCTCACCTCCACTCAAACAAATGGCATCAATTTGCCACATCTTCAAACTAGAGCTAACACCATGTCCCAAGTTCAGCTCCTGCCTTTCAAAGGCCAATGATGTGAGTGAATAGTGGGATGGTCTCTACTCATGTTGTTAATCTTCAATCTGTAAAGGAGGCCAATGTAATTGCCCCTTTCCAATCACAATTGAATGCACTTCCCACAGGTTCTCTTCCTCTCCATTCTACTTCAATGTACCTATCAAAATCCTGTATGTCCTTTAGTTTTCTCCCCAAATCTACTTCATGTAGCCTTCGAAGAAATAGCTACTTGTTGGCTCCGATAATTATGGTACAATAATAATGGTTCTTCATTTTGATGTATGCGGGTCTAAATTTTCCATCCTGTTCCAGGTTATGATCACTCTGAGGACAAAGACTCTACTCAGTTCTGCATCTCACTTTGACCTATATGTTTTCTTGCATGTTTAATGCCCAAAACATATTTGTTAAATTTAGTAATATTCATTGAATGTATCAATGTATAGCTGGAGCCTGGAATATAGGATCAGTAAGTATTTTTTGAATGGAAGAATGGACAGAAAGTTGGAGAGATGAAAAAATAAGTGATTGATTAAAATTTATGGATACATTCACTTTTTCTCCGGAAAAGTCTCTCCTATGATGTCAAGAAATATATTTAGAAAAAAAAAAAAAGCATACTAAAGGGAAACTATTTCAAGAATCAAAATGCTTCTGGTCACAAACATTTTTTTACAACTCACACTCATTATTCCTGTGAAAAAAAAATCTCTGGAAATTTTAAGGCTACTTATGATACAGTTAGCTGTCTATGTGATAAAAGCATTTCATTGCTTCTTAAAATGCAAATAGATTGTTTGTGATCACTATGGATGAATTAACAGTAAACAGAAGAAGACATTTAACTCTATGCATGGGTAGATGGGTCAGAAATGCCTTCCACAGTTCATGTCTTTTTCCTGGTTTGACCCTTTCTCCACCATTCTTTTCAACACACTCTTTTCTCTCCCTCATTTTCTGTCTACATCAGTAGGGAAATCACCATAGCAACAATCTGAAATAAATCAATTCAGCTACTATTTTCTGGATGTTACAGCCTTGTTCAGAGGTCAGATTTCAAAGAAAGCAAAAGACTGAAACTCCTGACAGATGAAGGAGGCAGAATTTTCTGCTAACCTGAATAACACCAATGAAAGGAAACAGAGGTGATCTCATTGCTTCAAGCTCAGTGATACAGCAGCAAAAGAAAAGGAAAAAGAAGAATATGATCACTCAGATGCTTGCTTTCCTTCTGAGGAGACTTTTAACCATCTGTGAGCAGTACTAGAAGAAAAGGTGGAAACAATTCAAGCAAATTAATAGAGGATGAAAATGTTCTTTATTAGAAATGAGGCCATTTCTTCGTATCTGATTCTTTAAGGATAAAAAATTTCATTTAATGATGAATCATTGCTTTATTTCCTCCTTCAGGTACTGATGTTGTCTTTTCTACCCAAATAAGATACCAAGATCTTACAACTCTCTATGTTACACAATGATTTGAAATGCAGCAGGAACTCTGTGTGTGTGTGTGTGTGTGTGTGTGTGTCTGTGTGTGTATGTGTGTGTACGTCTAGATAGAATATGGCAGTAAGACTGAAAAACAGACCAGAAGTCAGAAGTCAGGTGATCTGGGAATTTGTTGTGGCTCAATCCTTCAGCCAGCAATGTTGCCAGGAACAGGTCACTTAACATTGCTGATTCTCATCTATCTGTTCACCTTAGAGGATTTATGAGGACTGGTGAGAAAGGAATTGTCAACTACATGTTTGTTCAGCCTAGGGTTGGTATCAGAGATACTCATGATCCCTAAATCATGCCAAAGATGTGCCAGCTATCTGTGCTTGAACACACACAACCTTCAAGTCTAGTGTTCCTGCACACAACTGAAGACTTTTTAGACAACTATATTGCATAAGGATAGTAAGAACAAAGGTTCAAGAGGCTTGGGTTCAGTCCTGGATCTGCAACTGAATAAATGTTCAAGCTTCTTTGGGTCACTTCATCTATCAGAACATCAATTTCCCTTTTGGTTTCTAGTATACTTTGCTGTGGTTTGAATGTTCGTGCCCCCTCCACAATTCATGTTGAAACTTAATTCCAAGTTCAACAGAATTAACAAACAGGTCCTTTTGGAAAGTGATTATAGCATAAGGGCTGCACCCTCATGAATCGATTAGTATGCTTATAAAAGGACTTGAGGGCACAGGCTTTGTCCCTTTTGCCTTCCACCATGTGAAGATACAACATTGAACCCCTCAGGAGGATACAGCATCCCAAATGCCATCTTGGAAGCTGAGACCAGGCCCTCAAGGGACACCAAACTTGCCAGTGCTTTGATCTTTTGTCTTGTAGCCTCCAGAACCATGAGAAATAAATTTCTGTTCTTTATAAATTACCCAATCTCAGATTTTTTGTTACAATAGCACAAGTGGACTAAGACGTACCTCCTGGCTCCAATATTCTTGTGAAGCACAGAAAGAGTTGACTGGCTATAATTTTGAAGTAAACACTGCCATTTATTTTAGAGATAATTACTGACACATGGAGATTCATGACCTTCTCTCCTTCCTCCAACCTGTCAAGACCACTCAGGAAACTAATGTTTAACTTCTCCTGCCCAATCCTTGTCTGCTTCTCTGAGAAGAACAATGACCCACGCTCTGGGTTTAAGGCAACAGGAGAATAATACAGCGTCCATGGAGCTTTTGTGGTGAAGAGAGAATATAATGTGGTATGTGACCATGAAGAAAAGAGCAACGAAGGGATGAGGAACTAAATGATAAAGAAAGAGATCAACAGAAATGAGAAAAAAGATTCTTCTAGGGTAGTGGGGTAAGGAACTATTGAGAGGTTCAAGCTCTTCAAGAATAGAAAGAACCCTGAGAATTTGTATGGAACAGTACTTGGACCATACTTAAGAGAAATACTAATAAAGATGTGATTTAGGCCCTGAATCTTTAAATGTGGTCCTGCTGTGGACTATGTGAGTTTTATAAGCATTGCTACCAAAGATGCTGTGATTTTTTCACACTTCATCATTGGCTATGTGATGCTGAGATGGTGACTTCAGTGTTTTGTTCCAAAAACATGAATTTTCTTTCTTAAGAGCTGATGTACGGATATGACTGTACACACTTGATGGTTAAAAAATGCAGCAACATACACAAAGCAGTTTGCCCAAATGTGACTGGATTTTGTGTTTTCACAGAAATTATTTTGGGCATGATAATGAAAAACAAATGGCCATTTAAATTATCAAGACCTAATATATATTAATTACAGGAATATATGCTGAAGGCTTACATATATATCAATTATAGCACCCTCTCAGGCTGTTTTTCTAACACTTAAAAAATTGTAATAATCAAATTATTAAGACTATAAAAAGACTCAGTGGGATGTGAGAAAGCCAATATTATGTATTTTGGGCCATAATTTGGCATTACGTTCCAAAAATAAAAAATAAAATAAAATAAAAGACCTGCCCCCGGGCTGGGTACGGTGGCTGACGCCTGTAATTCCAGCACTTTGGGAGGCTGAGGCAGGTAGATCACCTGACGTCAGGAGTTCGAGACCAGCCTGGCCAACATGGTGAAACCCCGTCTCTACTAAAAATATAAAAAATTAGCCGGGCATGGTGGCAGGTGCCTGTAATCCCAGCAACTCGAGAAGCTGAGGCAGGAGAATCGCTTGAACCTGGGAGGTGGACATTGCAGTGAGCCAAGATCACACCACTGCACTCCAGCCTGGGTGACAGCGTGAGACTCCATCTGGTGGGGGGGGGAAAAGACCTGCCCCTCAGTGCACTTACCATCATGGATATCTGAACAACGCAGCTTCTCACGGACAAAGCCCGTGGGGCCTTGGAGACCAGCTATGAAGAACACAAGATCTTATATTCTCTTTGGGTACACACCTCAAGCAGTTTTTTGCCTCTGAACAATCCTTGGGAATGCTCAGGAAATAGATTTACCATGTTCAGTTCAGGACACAGTAACAGGTTTTTGACTGTGACTGCAGACTAAAAAACAAAATCAAATCAGATATTTATGCTCCATTTCAAGGAACTGTGACAACTAGCTGTTCAAATGGAGGAAACAGAACAGTAACGTAATTAGTCTACAGAGGCAGGACTGGTGAGGGCTCTGAGAAATGCAAGGTAAGTGATTACTCCATGCCTCAAGGTATTCAAACCAACTTAAGAACAGATAGACTAATGCTAATCTTTTATCTTCATTTCCTTTAGCAACAACAAAAAGGTACAACTGGAGCTGATAAAGTTGCAAGTACAGTAATCATTGGGCAATGGATGATATTCTAATATGTTATCATAAATAATTTGTTCCATAAAAGTAGATAAATAAGACAATATAATTAATGCTCAAGTGTATGGGATGTCTCAAAATGATTCTAGCAGGATTTATCAGAGTACCTTGCATATAGTAAGTGCTCACATAATTTGGAAGAAAAATATGGCTTTGGTAAGTAACTTACTTATCAAAATCATACATCTAACTTGTAAAGATAATTTATTCAAGTACTAATTATAGATATTAATTAACAAAAGATTTGTATTGTATTAACAATATTTGAAGAGACTTTCTACTACTCTCTTAGCTAATCAGAAACTTATCACAAACATGGACTGTATTATAAATGATGTAAGCTGCTTTTGCCTTATTTGTAGTCATGGTTACAGGTGGAAAATTCATCTTGATTGTCAAAATTCTAAAGAGATTGTTATTATTCTAATAAAGTCTCACCTTTACTGCTTAAAACTCTCCAGTGGCTTCCCACAAATCTGAGTATACTCATTAAAACCCTTAATACAGCCTACTGGGTCCTGTGTGATCCATCCCTGCTTACCTGTTCAATCTTATCATTCACCTCCACCTCCTCATTTAATGCCCCCCAGCCTCCCTGGACCTCAAGATTTCCTAGCCTGACAATGCTCATGCTCTCACCTCTGCATATGATCTTCTTTTCCAAATTCCTCTTTGCCTGGATAACTTCTATTCACCTTTTTTAAATGCACTCTCCAATACAATTTCTCAAGGAAGCCTTTCTGGAACCTCCATATGAGATCTAGTCCTTCTTGGGAAACAGTTGTTCCTGGCCTCTTGTTCTCTTATGTGTCTTGCTGAATAGGTCAACATTGCAGGGTCCTGTTTACTCTTTCACTGTTTAACCAGGCCGTTTCTCAGGATTGTTTATACCGAATAGCAGTCTTGAGAGGTGAAGTAGTGTATTATGGACAGAAAGCAGCTTCCTTACTGCTTGCTATGAAAAGTGCAGGGCTCTTTACCCTGATTTTCTTAGTTCTGGCACAAACCCACTGGGTGCGTAGCATGCATCTGTGAGACAACACATTTCTGCAGTTTTAAGCAGCCTAGTTTGGTGGGCTCATTTGTTGTGGCAGCCTTAACAAACTGATATAGGTAGGTACCATCATTCTCATTTTACAGATGAAGACATGGAGGGACAGAGCAGTAGAACAACATGCCTAATGATTCACAGTTGCTGTGTAGCAAATTCATGAGACAAACTGAATCACTTTCATTCCAGACCCTGCACTCAGAACCCCTATTTTATCCTGCCTCTGTGTCACACTCTGTCTTTCATGTTCCTTGTTTGCTCTTGGGTATCCCTGTGAAAACCATCTAATGACTTCACACTGTGGACTAGCACAAAATTTATAACGTGATATTTTACATATAGTACTATTCAAAAACTGGAAGATACTAGAGGCTTGCAACCAGACCAGTGTGACCCACAGACCTGAACACACATCCTCTCTGTTGTGCTCCATCCACAACTGCTCATCTCTGGACCTTCTTTTCCTTCTCCAGGGGTTACTGGGGCAGCTGAAGTCACAAGGAAGAGTCACTAGATTTGGAGTCAGAAGGCCTTTATCATTGCTATTTAAAAATTTAGTGCAACTATGCTGTATGATACTATAATGGTAGGTACATGTCATTATACGTTTGTCAAAACACATAGACTGTACAACACCAATCGTGAACCCTAATGTAAACTATGGACTTTGTGTGCTAATGATGTGTCAGTGTAGCCTCATTAACTAACAAATGTACCACTCAGGTGTGGGATGTTGATAATGGGCTACACATGGGGGTGAACAGGGGGAACATGGGAACTCTTTACTTTCTGCTCAATTTTGCTGTGAGCCTAAAACTTCTATAAAAAATTATCTATTTAAATTTTTTAAAAAAATTATATCCTATCTTTTAATGACTTTAGAGTGCTCAGTCAGAAGACCTGGGTTTGGATCCTGGCCCTGTCCACGGCTAAATGTAGAACATTTAGCAATATTTCTTTATTAGGCAAATGGGCATAATACCACATCTTATATCTAATCCTCACTCAAAAACACTGAGTGCAGGGCCTTGGAGAGATGGGCACTTCTCAATAACTATTTGCTCAAGGCCCACCTCCTTGCCCGGTGCTTCAAATGGAGGTGAATGCATGAAGAGAGAATCTGTTGAGCAGCACCCTGGCAGGTGTCCCAGCCCACTGCTCCTGGGATCCTTAGCAAGCCCACAGGGCATTTCTCCTGCTGGTCTTCACAGTAACAGCCCCAACAGCTGGCAACTTGTTACCACCTCTGGCTGCTGAACAGGGTCAGCCTAGCCAGGCAGAACTTTGGCAAGTAGACTTCAGCTGGGGGAAAGTGCAGTGAGCCGGACCTCATGAGAGAGGACCGCTTGGTGACTTGACAGTAAATATATGTGTAAATAATACCAGGGAGAAGAAACCAACCATGACCAGGAGTGAGAAGTTGGGGTGCATCCAAGTCACACAGTCTCACAGCAAACAGGCTAACAATATGCTGTCACACAGAATACATTTTTCCAAGTAAAGTTGTTTTCAAATATAGTTCTATTAAAAAAAACAGAAATAACCAATTCATTTCTTTTAAATTTTGTTACTTCAGGACCAAACTGTTGACAGAACTTAGGATTCACTTTTCATCACTATGTCAATGCACAGATGTAAATAAAATCTAACATCCTTACAACACAGAATCCAAGAAAGAAAAAAAAAATGGTCCTTGATTTCATCTTTCTCTCACTCAGGTAAATCCATTTTATAAAGATATGAATATGAAGGCATAGATTTACTTAAATGTTAGTTTGGCTTCTTTAGGAAATAAACTCATTTGTTTCCAAGCACCAGAGAAAAGAAAATTGTTCAATTTCAGGCTGAGTGACAAATTTTCCCTAGGTCTTGTCCTCAGGATTTCACTGTTGTAGGCAAATAACTGTTTTTCATATAAAAGTCAATCACTACTTTATGACAAAATCCTCAAATTGTCTCATTACAGAGCTCCACAAATAAATATGTATAGAAAACTATGAAATACCAGATTAAGTGTATCAACCCCAAATACAAAAGGGAATATTCTCATCTGAAAGCATTAGAACATACTTACCAGGTGAGCTCAGATACCAAGAGTGAAAAAAGATTGAAGGTGAACATGACCATTAACACGAACATATTCACTCAATCAGTAATGCACACAACCACCACACAGAGCCCAGAGTGATGACCAATTTCTCCTCACTTTATGTATTGTCCAAACCAGTACAGGTGTTTACTTAAGATTCACTGTTTAGCGTAATACAGGTATGTCTAAACACACACGGAGTATTTAAAAATAACTTTTTACTTTGAAATAAATGTTTTTAAAGCACAGAATTGTGATCTAGAAGAACAGAGGCTTGAATTCAAATTTTATGGTATTAACCATGAACTCCTGGATAAGTCTCATAGTCTCTCAAAATTTTATGGGTTTTTTTAGCTATGAAAAGGAGGATAGTAACATGAACTCCAAAGGACTATTATGAGAATGAAGTGTTTAGGAAGAAGGTCAAGTGTCCAGAAGATTTCTGGGAACCTGTAGAAGGCTCTTCCTTCATTAACGGACTCTGACTGCCAGTGTTTTAGTGGAAATATTCCTATTAGTGTTTGGTCAGCAGAAAGAGTCAGGAAAAACCAGACTGTCAGTCTTTGTGAAAAGAACAGGCCTCCAACTGTCCCGTCTGAGCTGTGGGGCAGGAACACGTCACTGTGCATCTCAGAGCCTCTGTTCCTTTATGTGTAAACTGAAGCCAAGTAAACCTAGTTACATTTACTTCCAAGAAATGTGGTTAATATATTACATAACATATGTAAATGAAATTCATCTATAAATTTCCAAGTAATCTGTAAGCATTGTAATTTGCATTTTATATATAAAGACAAAAGGAGAGCTATACAGATATACAGAAATCTAAAGGGTTATGTTGGAATGGTAAAAATCCCTTTCCTATTTATTTTGCTTTTAAAATTTTATTTTACAAATCTAAGTTTAACAAAAACCTTGGGGTTTATTTTTTAGAGATTCATTGCACTTTTTATAGTGAGAGCATTAGAGATGAAAAATAGGTTTCTTAAAGCAGAGTCATTTGTTACTGATGCTAGAATCATGACATTCATAAAATAGGCACTAATAAGCTCATGGTGCAATCCAAAGAGATCAGGTATATGGTCATGATACTTAAATAAGAAAGTCAATAGATCAAAAATAAAGAATAAAGTTATACAGTTATTTGCTAAATGTAATTAAAAGGCTGAAACAGAGATACTGTCCCAATTTTTTTGTTTTATGTTTTTAAAGGATCATTGTCTTATGATGAATCTGACAAAAATCTGAAAATTCAAGGGAAGAGTTTAAAAGGCAGATCTTTAAGTATTTTTCAGAAACTGAAACATGAAGTATAAAGGTCAAATCACTGTGATATAATTCTTTAATACTCTGTAACCTTCACTCAAAGAAGTGTGAAGGTCACATGAATAGCTTTATGCATTATTTTTCAATAATAAGTAAATGTGAATCATGTGAAGGATTTTCTAAAGCTTACTGTATTTCTTTTTTTTTTTTTTTCCAAGATGGAGTCTCACTCTGTTGCCCAGGCTGGAGTGCAGTGGCACAATCTTTGCTCACTGAAACCTCCGCCTCCCAAGTTCAAGCAATTCTCCTGCCCCAGCCTCCCGAGTAGCTGGGATTACAGGTGCCCACCACTGCATCCAGCTAATTCTTGTATTTTTAGTAGAGATGGGGTTTCACCATGTTGGCCAGGCTTATCTCGAACTCCTGACCTGGTGATCCACCTGCTTCAGTCTCCCAAAGTGCTGGGATTACAGGCGTGAGTCACTGCGCCTAGCCAGCTTACTATACTTCTTAATACCAGTGGTCACTGGCATCACCCGACACAGAACCATTCTTTGTATTTGTGCTGTCAATTTACACCATACTTAAGACCTCAAGATACTTTGAAGGTAACAATATCTACTCTTCCCTTCTTGGATTAAATGATTTGCTATAGTCTGAATGTTTGTGTCTCTGCAAAAATCATATGTTGAAATCCTAGCTTCCAGGGTGATGGTATTAGGAGGTGAGACCTTCAGGAGATTACCAGGTCATGAGGGCAAAGCCCTTGTTCAATAATTTTAGTGGCCTTATAAAAGAGACCCCAGAAAGACCCTCGCTCCTTCCACCAGTGAGAACCCCGCTGTCAGGGAAGTGGGCCATCATCAGACACTGAATATGCGGGCACCTTAATCTTGGACTTTCCAGCCTCCAGAACTCTGAGAAATAAATTTCTACTGTTCATAAGCCACCCAGTTTATGGCGTTGTTATAGCAGCCCAAATGAACTAAGACATGAGTCTTTTGCCTTAGATATAATACAAACATTTTTGCCTATAAAAGTAGCACCAAAATGGTCTCTAAGGGGAACACACTCAAATCGCCATCCAGAAAAACCAGATGTGGCCTGAGGAACATCGAATTCAATTCAAAGTTGAATTCTTCCCAAAGGCCATGGCAATTTACTGCTTCTGGTTGTGTGATTTGGGGAGGTCCATTAACTTCTGTGAACTGTACTACATAATCTATAAAATGGGGATAATATTGTTTTTTCTCAGGGGGCTGTACTAAAATATCCAATTTTCTTACGAATAAAAAGGTTTCATTCTGATAAAAGGTCACAGTACTGATAAAGAGTCAGCATAGCTATGAAACACATACTCTGAAGTCAGGATGCCCAGATTCAAATTCTCACTCCAGCCATTTACTGGAGCTGTTGTCTTGAGCAATCTACTTAAGCACTCTGTGCAATCCTGATCCCTTCTGTAAGTGAGGATAGTGACAGTACTTACTTTATTGGGTGGTACAAGGATTAAATGAATTATTATTTAAAAAGCACTTAGAGTAGTAGCTTTAACATATTAAGTTCTGCGTACTTGTTTACTACATAAATAATTGATTACTGTCCCTTTCCTTAAAGGTGCCGCCCACCAAGCATGAATGTGGGTATAAATTCATGGCTGCCTAAAGGTTACATGTGGCAGAAACTGCTGCTAAGTTTCCCCTTCTTCCTGGCCACATAATTATACTACATTTCCCAGACTCCCTTGCATTTGGTATGGCCAGCGAAAGAAGTGATCGGTATTACTCCATGCTTAACCCATAAAACCTAACCCATAAAACCTTCCATGTACACTCTTCCATTATCTTTCCCTCTCTATGTCTTGATACAGATGTACCCAGTGATGGAGGAAGTCATGTGTTAAAGATGGCAGAGACACAGGTAGAAGGAGCCTGGGTCCCAGCATCACTGTATTTTGAGAGAGTTGCCTGACCAGGAACATCTGCCTTATCCTCAGGTGTCTATAAGCAATAAACTCTGACTGTTTATTAAGCCTCTGGGGTTTTGTTACAGCAGCTAGTTATGCTGTCTTAACAACACAGTCCAGTATTTCTTACTTGAGGCTTCAAACTGAGGTAAAGTCACTACAACCTTCAGTGCCTAGAGGGGATGGCTGGGTCAAAATTGTGGTTGGGCTGGGATTAGATGCCAGGAAAGCATGGATGACATAGAAAAGCCTTACCCAGAAAAGAAAGCAGAGTTATGCATAGGACAGAGGTAGATACCAAGTAAGCCTTGCAAGAAATGTAAAATCCAAAGCTTAAGCAAAAAATCTAGGAGAAACTATGGTTGAAAGATGGCCACAGTAATCACAGCTGTCAAAATCATAAGAACAAGCACATGAGTCCAACTGGCTTCAGATAATTTATAGAGGATGGCCTCCCTCTATTGGCCAGCCTTCCTATTCCCATCAGCACAAACTGTCCTGGTATATAATTTTCTAGGTCTGACATTTTTAGTATAATGTGCCCAAACATTTTCCCAAGTAGACTTACCTCAGGGACTAAAATTACCGTAATTCTTACAACCCTGAGCTGACATAATGTTGCATGTTTTATTATCATGAAAATGCAATTCATGCTGAACAATAAATAAGGTAATTATTCACCCTGAATTTATGAGTTTGTATTTCTATATAAGAGCAGTTTTCCAATTGCTTATAGGGTCCAAGGGAATGGAACACAGTACAGGTAATTGTTGATGGTGGAAGTGGGGCTGGTCTTCTGTATGGACAGCTACCAAGAAAGATAAGTTTGGTTATGTCACTTTTTAGAGAAATGCTAGTCATCTGAGTGTTAGAAAGCCATCTGCTGAGAGTCCCAGGAGGACAGAAAAGGTCACTGAAAGAAAGATGTATAAGCTTCTTTCTATAAATGATGTATACTCTTCTTTGTATAAATGTGGTTCTGGTCACTCTTGGGTTTGTTCCATGGCCCTCTCTCTACAAGCAGAACTATTCTAAATGTGTAATCATAAAAGCTGAGTTAATTCATGCCCTTAGATTCCATGAATATTGGAGAGGCTTATAGGTGGCTCCCCTGTGATCCCCACTTACTGGTGTTCACGCTCTTGTGTAACCATCTATTCTTGAAGGTAGAAGAGACCTATGACTTGCTTTTAACTTACAGAATGTGGCAAAGGTGATGGGCTATTATTCCCATAATTGTGTTTTAGTATATTAGACTCCATCTTGCTATCAGACTTACTCTAGAGACTCTTCTTGTTGACTTGATAAAGTGATCTGCCACAGGAGAAAAGCCAGCATGGCATGGAGCTGCAGGCAGCCTCTAGGAACCACAGGCAGCCTCTAGGAATGCCAGATAGCCTCTGAGAACAAAGAGCAGCCTCTAGCTGTGACCTAGCAAAGGTGAGACCCTCAGTCTTCTTCTGCTTTTAAGAGTGCAAGAAAAATAATTCTGCCTGCAAATCCAAATGAGCTCAGAAGTGAATTTTCCTCAGTCGAGCCTTTGGAGGAGAAAACAGCCTGGTGGATACCTTGATTGCATACTGGGAGGCTCCAAGCAGAAGACCCATTTAAGCAGAGCTTTGACTCTTGACTCGCAAAAATAATGAGATAGTAAATTGTTGTTTAAAGCTGCTAAGTATGTGGTAATTTGTTACATAGTAATAGATAATAAGTACATTCTACTAACAGAAACAGTGACCATCAGTGCCTTCCACTCTACTAAGGTGGCTCTTGTAATATTATTCATGTAATGTTATTCATGTAACATTAGTGGAGCACTGGTACAGAACCCCATTCCAGCGAACTATAAAATGTTCCTCCCACTTCTCCTGTCATCCTCTGCACACGTTTAAGCCCCTCAAAGATCCCATGTATTTTGTTCTTGGAGGCCTCAGTCCATATGACATAAATAATATAATGTGTACCCACATCACACATTAAATATCATTTTCTCTGCAGGGAAATTAAAATGAAAGGTTTTTATTTACAATTTTGCCTTGAAAATTAGTTGGCTCAAAAACTCATTTAATTTAGAATGTCAGTGATTTCTTGGCAGTTATCATGCAGACTTGGGAATTTGTGAAAGAACATCTCACCTTCACATGTTTTCTAAGACAATGAAATTTTTATAAATACTAAATTGAACAAGGAATGAAGCTGACACAATGTTATTTTTAGGAGATGTTTAAATATTTATTAATTTCATTTGTGAAGGATTTTCTAAGAATTTTGGAACCAATGATTTCTTATTCAGGTCTTAATCTGTTCTGGTTTTCCCTGAGAACCACATGTGTCCTGGGCTGTGTGCCAATAATACCTGGTGAATAAAGGGCCCAGCTTTTCTTACATACCTCTTTTCTTTTCTTATTAAATTTATGATTTTTTCACACAAGCAAATGTCTTGCATGGTTCAAAGAAGAGAAAAGAAAAAGAAAAGTAGAATTCAGACATACACATGTAGAAAAACTGAAACCAAATATTATAGTTCTCAGAGCTTGTTGGCTCAAAACAAAGAAAGGAAGAAAGAAAAGAAAGCAAAGAAAGAAAGCAAGCAAGAAAGCAAGCATGAGCCCAGGGAGGCAGATTTCCTTCTTAATTTTAAACGGAGGGTCATGTAGATCAGTATTCTCACGTTTTTGCTTTTCTTTCCAAAACAGTCAATGGAAATGGTAACCTTTCTCTACTCAAGGTTCTGAGATCAATAGCAACACTTAGATTATGCTTTTGAATTCATTAGCCATAAAAACTAGATACGACATCTTCCTAAATGAGCAAGTAATTTCCTAAATTTGAGCCTCACACAGTGGCCTTATCGGTTAGTAAGAGGAATCGATTGGTGATCAGTAAGGCTCTTTCCATTCCTAAAATCCCAGGAGTCTAAAGCATCCAAAGGCAGGAAACAGATTGAATTAGACTCCAAATATTGGCAACCACATTATTTGTCTCTGGTCACACAACTTCATTACTCACCCATCTTTCTCCTACTGGAAATTATATAATAAAAAATCATTTGTGATTACCAGAGGAGATGCTATAAAATTAATTGTGTTAACTCAATCATTTAGGGGAAGAAAAATCCAGCCAGAAAGATCTTCAAATGACAGCATCTTAATCCATGCCTGGATATCGTGGGAGAAGAGCAGGGGTTTCTTTTAATTTTTCTCCAAATCACACTTCTTAGTTACTTAGAGCTTAAAAGGATTGGGTTATGTATGAAAAAGAAGCTGAAGGAGACAACCCCAAGGTAACTTCCAATTCTGAGCCTAAATCTTAAAAAACAAACAAACAAGAAACTCCAAGACCTTCTCAACTGAAAACAGCAGGCTGTAAAAATCCCAGGAGAAGCTCTGCTAACTTGCACATGATCTTTCTTTAGCATTTAGTACAAAAATACAGATAGTTTCCAAACAGAGGGTGAGGATCTATGGGTCAGCTGGAAGGGCTGACAGAGGCAAATTCATGGCAGCATAATCTCTGGATGGGGAAAACAGGCTTGCTCTATTTGTGTGTGTGTGTGTGTGTGTACTTAATGTAAAAGAGTGGATTTGATGTAAGCCATAAGGAATAAAAAGAAGGTACTCTCTGCACAAAAACTAAGCAAAATCATGTAGACAAATGAGAGCCTGAGAATCACTGTTTATTATTGTGTGCCAGACCCAAGGCTAAATAATATTCATTTATATTTAAATTTAATCCCTTCCCACCTGTACCAGTTGGGATCTTGGCAGGAATAATAATTAGCTCAGCTGGTTCAAGGGAACAGACCTTAATGAAAGGAGTGCAGAGGTGCAGAGAGGAAAAAGTGAACTAGTAAGGGATGGTGAGGCATCCAGAAACTTACAACAGTAGACAGCTGTTATCAACCTCCAGGAAAATATAATGTTACTAAAGCTCAGTGAGAATTGCACCATCTAGGAGGGTTTATCCTGGAGACTGAGTTCAAGGAGGGGCACAATCCTTGCCAGATACTAGGCACAGAAGCAGAGAGAGCAAAGAAGTGCCCCAGCTTCTTTCCCATAACTTTCTGATTTGCCAATGCCTCTCATTGGCCAAATTTAATTGACAGCTAACTGGCCAGGGAGCTGGATGAGGCATTCAGAGGGATCAGGCACCCAGAGCACAGAGAAAAGGAGAAAAGTAGAGAGGGACTTGGGTGGGGGTGAGGCGGGGGGTGGTGTGTAGTGCCCAGAGCACAACGTTAAGAGAGAGACATACTTATGTGTGATGTCATTCTTATTTGACATGTCAAGAAACTGAAGCCCCAAGTAGTTGAATTACTTGCTCCGAGTCACACAACTAGCACCATGTGGCTAATACAGGATTTGAACCCAGGACTTCTACCTCCAGGTATGTGCTCATTCCTCCATGCTGCTCTTGTGGTACCTCACATTCACAAGCTCTTTGCTGTTTACCAATTCTTTTACATACTTTGCCTTCTCTGTTCTTCCCAAATTCTTTCCCTAGAATAATCCTGAGAGGTAGGAAAGATAAAGTTTTATTTTACAGATGAAGGAGTTAAGGATTAAAGGAGCAATTAACACTTTTCTTCTGAAAGATAGGTGATAATTAACAGCTTGGATCAATAGCAGAAGGGAACAGGCAATAAACAAACAAAAAAACTATATTTCTATAGAAAAGTAAATCGGACTAAATTATGCTTTATTGCTGCTTTTGTATGCTTTCTATAACCATACTCCACTTAACTAAAAGAAGTACATATTTCTTAGAGATTAATCTACCCTTGCTCACCTTTGTATCTGACCCTGGTGCTTCCTGACATACAGGAAATGCTCTATAAATATTTGTGAAATAAATATATACCTGAGAAGCTACAATGTTTCAAACTATACATGCCAGGCAAGGTACACAATGTATTTTATTTCATCTTCTCCTCAACCTTATGATGTTGATATCACTATCATCCTCATTTTACAGATGAGGAAACATCTTACACAGTTAGCAGATGATGTGGCCAGAATGCACTCACATCTCTAGTTGCTCTATGTCAAATATTATCTCATGCAATGTCACATGTACCTCTTTTGCCCCTTAGAGATCTAGGTACTGTGGGCTCACAGTTCCACCAATTCTGTGGTCTTTGAAAGTCAAAGCTCTACCTACAACATCTCTCAATTCCTAGGAACTTGCATTCCATCACATACTGCCTCCCCGTGGCCTAAGTTGTAAAAGCAATAGCAAGCAGCATAGACTCAAGATGACATTAGAAAGACAGATGAGGTGCTTATATCACAAAACTTCCCAACAAATAACTGAAAATTTCATATTAAAAGTTTACTGTATGATTCTATTTACATAACATTCTTGAAATGATACAATTATAGAGGTGGAGAAAAGATTAGAGGTTCCCAGAGGTTAGGGATGGGGAGGGGAGGGAGATGGTTTGCTACAGGAGTGCAACACTAGAAATCCTATGGTGGAACTGTTCTTTCCCTTGACTGTGGTGTTGCTCACACCAATCTACACTTGTGATAAAATTGCATAGAGCCAAATACACATCGGCATCTGCACACACCCACTTGTGCACACACACACAAGTGCATGTAAAACTGGTGAAATCTGAATAAGGTCAGTGGATTTTATCAATGTCAGTTTCCTGGTTGTGATACTGAACTGTACTTATCCAAGATAATACCACTGGGGGAAACTGGGTGACATGCCTAGGGGATATCTCTGTATTATTTCTTACTGCTGTGTATGAATCTACATCAGGGATAATGTATATTAGTTCAAAATGAAACAATTTTTAAATGTTTCTATATGCTAAAACTGCTCTTTATTATGAGGTTTTTCTTTTAGACCACACCCTTCCTTCCATACAAATGATTTCCCTTTAGTTCTCATTCCTCTCCCCTGAACTTTTCTTCTGGGAACTTTACAACTCTTTCCCCTCTATTACACAGAGAAATTTGGCTTTTTTGAGCTTCTACCACCACAGATGCTCACCAAGTTTATGACAGTGCTGAGCAAACAAAGAACCCCACCTCTAGTCAACTTGTGCCACAAGCTTAGAAGGCAAGGAGGTTACAAATAATGGAATATATTTTCAGGTGCAATTAGATTTGCAGATGTTACTTAGGGGGAAATGGCTAGCTCTATAGGACTAGCCCTGAGCTTCTCAAACTATTAAGTGAAAACAAGAGACAGAAATGAAAATTTTTTCCTATTTCACAAATCAGCAGATTTGGTGTAGACTTGTTATCATCCCAACTTTCTGCTAGTTACAGGATGTGTGGCCCAGGCAAATTATTTAATCTCTTAGGGCCTCTGTTTCCTTATCTACGAGATGGAAATACTAATAATTATTAATACATCAGAGACTTGTGATTGTTTTCTCCTCTATTTTCCAAATTATCAATGTTGTTATAGTAATTTTTCATAAAAGTTGAAAAATTTGTTGTTATTGTTGTTGTTGAACGTGTGATGAGTTGGTATGCGTGGTTGTTTTTAGCAGTGGATAAGATTTTAGCAAACAGAGATAGGGATAAAAAAAAGAAATAGAGTTCTGAAGAAACAGGATGAGCAAAGACAGAAACAGGAAAACAAAGGGCATATGAGTTCTGAAAACAAGGGGCTACATCATTTGGATGGAATATGAGGAAGTATTTAAGAATTGTGCAAGACTTGGGTAGAAAAAGATGAGTCAGACTATATTGTGAAGGAGAAGTTTGTTCTCAAAGCACGGTAGGAAGAAAGGGTGCTTTATAAACTTTGGGAAAGGGAAGGGTGATGTGTTGGGAGCAGATCTTTAGGGAGACTAATCTGGCCACACAGGCAGGATGGACTGGAACGTTAGTAAGCTGGAAGATGAGAGAGGCTGACAGAGTCCACACAAGATTTTACACAGAGGGGAGGTCAGTCTAGAAACGAGGGGCATGCGTATCAGCACTACAAAAAGTGTGGGATTTGTGGATGAGACGCCAAGATTGAGAATGGGTATCCCAACAGACATTCCTAGAAAAATATTTGTGAATTCTGCTTGTGTATCTTCAGAAAATGACAGAGGAAAAGACATATTTCTAACATCGATTCCATCACCAGATGGATGAGAAGATTCTTGTCTGCACAAGTGAAATGACATAGCCAGTCTGAAATTAATTCTTAATGTCTGGATTTCTATCCATTCCTCTGGCTCATATATAGACATATCAACAACCAATTCTAGTTATTACTTTCAGCCCTAGAACGTACTTGAAATTCACAGCCTCCCAAATTTCTCTTATGAATGTATTCTCTGGTAATCTCAGCCCATTGTCCCATGAATTTTTACATTTACCTTTGCCTGATAATAAAACAGAAGCATCTTGTTAGACTGTGGTTTATTCAAACAAAATGAAATAAAAAAATTCTGTGTTGCCTTACAGTATTATGAAGATGGTAACTAGGAAGTGGTGATTTCAGATATTTCTCTCTACAGTCTTTCAAACACACTATAATAAAAGTGACTGAGGCCTCTTTTTAAATAGACAGCAGCAGTAACTTATGAAAGATCAATGATAATCGTTTATCACATAAATGAGCACTGTGGAGTAACAGAACTCCCAGATTAAATGAGAAGCATTTATTACACTTCTGCACTGCAGCAAAATCTTTGGTACATGTTGTACAAAAAAACCCAAAGGCAGCCCCCCACTGATTTTTAATTAAGTGTCATTCCCACTGAGTTAATAAGCGTACTATCAATAATATGACTTTCTTCGAAGTTTTGATAATAATAGTTCACGCTATATTTTGTAATTACTGATAATAGATTTGATAAAATTCTCTAATTGCCACTTCTTCTCAGTCAACACGACTAAATGCACTATGCTTTCTGTGTCCAGGAACAGTCATTTCTAGAGCCTTAATAAACATAAATCATGTGAAATTGATGTGCATCTTGAGAATAATATACAACGAGGAGGTTCACTCTTGAAACACAAATAGATGCTTTATGGCTAAAAAATAAGTGCTGCCAGGATTAAAAACAACTAGAGTTTCCTGAGCTCTTACTTTGTACCAGGATACATTATAAGCATTTCATGAGCGCTCACTGCAAATAAGAATCAAATACAACATACAGGGGTGTAAACTTGGAGGCAGAAAGATTAGGTTTCTGGCCCAACTTTCCACAGCTGGTCAGTGGAGCCAGAATCCCAAAGCCTGTGCCCTTGCCAACCCCTGCCTCCCCAACTCCCTCTGCCTGGTGGAAACTTTGTCCTCTCAATGACAAATGAGAAAGGAAGAAGGCAGTAATGGGCTCCAGATGAACTATGGCTTGGTTAATATCACATTCACTTGGCTATGATGGTGCTCTGCCAACAATCAACCTTCAAAATGTGTTTGTCAACTGCATGGAATTCCTTGTTATGAAATTAATAGAAACCTGTCAGCATCATGCCCATTTGTTTCACCTCTGTGCTCCCTAATCTGTGCCACACAGGAGCCAAAAGCAGTGCCAGGGCCCACTGTGGCTAATGGCCAAGCAAATCTGCCCAAGGCTTCCAGCAAGGGGATGTCAACCACCGGCTGACCCACCTATGTCAGTCATTGGTCTTTGGCTTGCCCTCATTTTCTGCCCTTCAAGCAAGATCAGCCGAGGCTGAAAACAGGTGCACTGCAGTGGTGAGTTGATTTCATTTAACTTGGAAGCACTGTATCAACAGCTGATGACCAAAGTCCTTTATCAACAAATGAAAAAAAAAGAAGGTCAATGTGCTCCTGGAAAGATTGCTTCGACCAACACTGACAGAAAGCCTAGGGTGCTCTCAGAAGTCATTGGGTGTGCTCTCATCCACTTCTGTCAAATTCCCTAAGAGGAAACATTATTTGAAAAACACCCAGCTTTTTCAATTCAGCTTAATTCAGTTCAGTTAAATTGATGATTTATTCAGAACCTACCCTGTCCTTTTTCAAGCACTGGAAATACAAAGATGAATTAAACATAGCCTGTTCCTTCAAGAAGTTTGTGGTCTTGTGGGGACACGGTCATGTTTATGACTAATAAGAAAGACTGAAGCCAGTACTTAATAATGGCGTGAGAAATATGCTGACTCCAGAGAGAGGAAATTGGGAAGGAGACACACAGAACTAACTCTTACTTAGCATTCATTTTGTGCTGAGCTGGGTACTTAAATATTCACCTTTCTCTGTTGTTCTTCACAGCCCTAAGAGGTAAGAATTTCTATCCCTGCTTTTTAGATGAGCAAACTGAGACTCTAAGAGGTTGAATAGCTAGCCTGGGGTCACATGCCCAGGACTGGCAGAGGCAAGATGCTCACCCATCCATTTCAAAGCACATGCTCCTCCACTCTGACTTCACACTGCCAGAGTTCACTTTTTCTGGGAGGATCAGAGAAAGTTTCATAAATGATACGGATATTGGAGCTTATACATGGAATTTCAACAGAAGGAGTTGAAGGAAAATCCATCCAGATGCCAGCAATGTGCCCCGCCCTGCTCTCAGCATAACTTTCTGGGAGAAGCCGCTGTACTTGCCACCTCAGACCAGCCCAAGTTTGAGTGTAGGGATTGTCTTCACTTCTGATTTGCCATTGCTTACAACCTTCTCCAACCTGGTTGGAATACGGATCCCACAGCACACCTGTGACTCTGCTCCTACTGGAGGTGCCCCAGGTTGGTCCCCTGTAGGGGTCAAGGCTGCCATTAATCAGTTCCATATTTGGATTGATTAGGCTGAATTTGAACTTGAAATTTGGAATGTTGTCCTATCTTCCAAGGATAGCCCTAGGGAAAACCTCACCAGTTAAGAGCAAGGAATCTGGTCAGATGACAGGGCAGTGAATTTTAACTATATCCATTTCCAGCTCTGTGACCTTGCCTTTTTAAAAAAATAAATTTCAGCTTTTAGAACAGTTTTAGATTTACCAGGAAAAATACAAACGTAGTACAGAGACTTCCCATATACCCCACATCCAGTGTCCCATCTTATTGGCAACTTACATTAATATGGTTCATTTGTTGCATTTTATTGCAAACCAATATTGAGACATTCGTATCAACAAAAGCCCATGCTTTATTCAGATTTTCTTAGTCTTTACCTAAAGTCCATTTTCTGCTCTAAGATCCCATCTGGGATGCCACATTCCATGAAGCCATCATGTCTCCTTAGGTTTCTCTTGGCCATGATAGTTCCTCAGACTTTGCTGGTTTTGGATGACCTTGTTAGTTTTGAGAAGTGCTGGTCAGGTATTTTGTAGAATGTCTCGGAATTGGGATTTGATATTTCTCTTGTGATTAGTGTTTTGGGGAGGAAGATCACAGAGGTAACACACCATTTTCATCATATCATGTCAAGGACATGCACTATCAACATAATGACCTTGATCACCTGGCTAAGGTGGTGTTTATCAGGTTTCTACACTATCAAATTACTATTTTTCCCCCTCTTCATACCACAATATTTGGAAAGAAGTCACTATGTGCATCCCACACTAAAGGAGTGGGTACCTTGCTTTTTTGTGCCTTAACTTTCTCATATATAAAGTTGGGGATAAGAATAGAATGTACCTTGCGAGTATGTTGTGCTTCTTGAGGTAATCAATGTAAAGCACTTAGCATAGTGTCTGGAACAGCATAAACCATAAGTATTAACCACTCTTATTGTCATTTTCCTTATATACTATCTTCTTTGTGGAAAATCACATTGAGTCATTCATACATTTATTCATTCATTCAACAAACATGTTTTGAGCATCTACTCCATGCCAGATGCCATGCTAAATCCTGGTGTTGCAACGGTTGCAAAAATAAATACAGCAGCTGACCTTATAGAACACAGTAAGGTCTATAAGAAGAGAGAAATATTAAAGAGATAATCATGCAAATGAACACATACATCCAAACAGTGAGGAGTGCAGTAAAGTCATAGGGTGCTATGATGGCATGTGTCAGGGGAACCTGCTTATCTCTTCCCTGAAGAGGTGAGAGTTGAGGTGAGAGTTGAGCTGACAGCTGAAGAATGGGGCCCTTGGGAGCACATGACTAAGGAAACAACCATGAGGAGGGCAGTACAACAGGGTGCAGAGAGTGAGGAGGAGAGTGATCTGAGCCTGGGGACCACATTTTTGGTATTTACTCATAGTAACCATTGCAGCCAAGCAAGGAGTGACCTGATTCAACATTGGTTTGAAAGACATTACTGTGGCCACAAAGTGGATCTGCGTCGGATGAGGTCAGAGTAGATGTGGGAAGACCAAAAGCTCCTGCAGTAAATCCATGTGGAGATGATGATAGCCTTCCCCAGACAGGTGACCAGGAAGAAAGAAGAAGTGGAAGGAGTCCAGAGCACCTAGTGGCTGACTGCAAATAAGGGCGGAGGGAGCTGGAACTAGGAAGGATGACTCTGCTTTTCTGCCTTGGAGTGATTAGATGGCAGGTGGTGATATTTAAGGCAAGTGGGGCATTGAAATAAGATACATAGTATGAGACACAAGGTGCATGAAAGGATATTGCAAGAGTGTAAAGAGGTTGAGGTTAGGCAGTGATGGACCCTGAAAACTACTGAGAGTTTGGACTTTATACAGTAGAACCTAGGAAGGAGAGAAACATTTAAGTGGGTCTGTCTCTAATATTCCCATAGCTCAGAGCGAAAATCTAGATGAAGTTCCTAATTCCATGTGTCGTGAAGCTTTTTGTCACCCCACTAAATCACAGACAGGCAACCTCTATCTTCACAGAGGCCCAAGGTCCTCACTCCTGACAGCATTGTTTCCTTAGGTTCTTTAAGAGCTTGGAGCTGGAAAATCAAAATGTAGAATTCTAAGACCTTGTGGAGTTTCATACTTAAATATGGAGGTGTGGAGTGATCGGCCCTTAGTGCCTAGCCCCCAGCCCCTGTCCTGCCCACCCATTCTGTTCCCACCCCATAACCCATTCTGTGCCATGAGGGGCCTCAAGTGCAAGTCAGTACACAACCCAACCCACCCAATCAAGCTCCAAACCACCCACCATCATCACCCTTAGGAAAAACAGCTGTCCCTTGGCCACCTCCACACAGATCTTAGAAGCTGACTGGGCAGGGGGTGTCCAGGATCCTAAACATCTGCAGCGAGGTTTCTAAGAGGAGCATGTATGTCATGTGGGCAGTGTGAATTCTTCTCCTATGGGGAAGGCCATGACTGTAGCAGGGTCTGAGCAGGCTTTCTAGGTGAGGAGACAGAGAGCCCACACTACTCAGATCTCAGGGCAGAACTGACTTTAGGTGGTTATTTTGAATAGAGATGTGGGTCATTCATATTTTGGATATGAAGTCAAATATACTGCCATTGAGCAGAATTATACTGAAATAGAAAGGTGTCCAACCCGCTGCTTATTTTATTTCAATTACATTAACACCATTGTTGTGTTACCTCAAGCATAACTTTTTTACTGCCTGTCACATTTAAAATTTGCTATTTTGAAAGAAGGGAAAATTCTAGTTCCCCTGCCTCTCCAAATTCTAAGACTGACCGAGATAAATGCTGCTTCCCTCTGAAAGTTCAAATAAGAGAAAAACCATCATAATAATAACATCATCACCATTCATCTCGGTAGTAATTACCCATTCATGCCAACCCCTCTCAAGATTTAAACTCTAGTTAAAATGCAGAAAGATGAACAGATTGAAGAATGTAGCTTATTTATTTACTTCCAAAGTGAAAGTGCCATTTTGCCACCCAAAGACTGTAAGACAAATCTGACAGCATAAATTACTTCCTACCAAAAGAAATGGCTTTTGTAGAATAAGACATTAATAAAAAATCTGGATTTTTCTCTTTTATTTTCACTTTATTCACGTATCATTTTTATTCTATATTTCAAAAGACAGCTTAAGATAAAAATCATATACAACAGAAGATAGTTAAAAGTGAAGAAAAGGAAACTTTTCGAAGAAAAAAGGAAATAATATTATCAGGAATCTGAAATGAGAAATGTCTTATTCCTTTGAGCACTAAATTGGCTCTGAGTTTCCCAGCAGCCAAGACAAAGAAAAAAAATGTGCGAGGGAAGTCAAGTATCTCTCAAAGCCTTCTAAGGAGCATTTCTCAGTTCTTTAAAAGAGATACGTCTTCCCTTGTCAACGAAGTCTCATATCGAACAGTTCCTCCAAGTGGCAATGTTGAGTGTTACAAAAAGTCTTCATTTAATCTGCATGTAATCTGTTATGAACTGAATATTTTTGTCCCCCCACTAAACTTAAATGCTGAAATCCTAACCATCAATGTGATGGTATTGGGATGTGAGGCCTTTGAAATGTAATTAGGTCATGAGAATGGAGCCCTCATGAATGGAATTAATGCCCTTTATAACAGGGACCCCAGATAACTCTCTATCTTACCACAGCACAATGAACCAATAAAAAGCCAATAAATTGGAAGCCTGCCCAACCCAGAAGAGAGTCCTCACCAGAACCCAACCATGCTGGCACCCTGATCTTGGAACTCCAGACTCCAAAGCTGGGAGAAATAAATTTTTGTTGTTTATAAGCCATCCAGTCTATGACACTCTGTGATAGCAGCCTGAACTGAGTAAGACATAGTCTAAATGTATAATAAGAAATGTTATTTGTGGATAATAAGCTAATGTCAAGTACATTGTTTTCTAAGAACCAGATTTTTGCAGGGTTCAATATTAGGGAATCCAGAATATGGAAGTCAGAATATCCTTTCTGCTCCCTTCAAACATCAGTTGCCCCAGGTGCGTTTGGTAACCAATACAAGACTGAGCTTTAAATGCTAGCTCTCATGTTTACTTCGAAAATGTGTTTCAAAAGGCTTCTATGATAGTTAACCAAGAGGAAATAACATGTAAACAATGTCAACCTCAAAGAAAATATGGCTTAATTTTTAGGCCAGTTATAAAAGATCCCAGCAGCCAACTGGAGCTCAGACAAAAAATTGAAAAGGCATACATACCAACCTCCTTTCACCAGGATGGACTTAGGCAGAGACTGAAATTTCTGAATTATCAAATGGCTGCAGACTGTAATTTCCCCCTTCTTTCCCTCTGCTTTGTTCAAGTTGATAATATGCTCAGCTTAAGCTGGGCGCAGCGGCTCATACCTGTAATCCTAACACTTTGGGAGGCTGAGGTGGGAAATTGCTTGAGCCTAGGAGTTGGAGATCAGCCTGGGCAACATGGCAAGACCCAGTCTCTAAAAAAAATTTTTTTGATTAGCCGGGCATGGTAATGCATGCCTGTGGTCCCAGCTATTCAGGAAGCTGGGGTGAGAAGATCGCTTGAGCCCAGGAGATCGAGGCTGCAGTGAGCCATGATCATGCCACTGAACTTCAGCCTGGGCAACAGTGCAAGACCCTAATTAAAAAAAAAAAAAAGAAAAAAGAAAAATGCCCAGCTTAAAGACTCCCTTGCAGCATAGGCTGGGTATATTTGTCTTGGGATAGTTATGGCCAAGGAGATTGGAGTGAAGGTCTACCAGAAGGGACTTCAGAGCTACTTGTTAAATGGGACAGGCTCAACTAACATTTGCATTTGCATTTTGCTTTTTCTGTTCACCCTTCATCTTATTTGAAAAAAAAAATGTCTGGAGAAAGAGCAGCCATCTGGGCACAATGAATATAAACCCAGAAATAGGCACAATGAAAAGGGAGCTAGAAGGAGCTTGGGTGCTTGATGCCTCTAGCAGCTCCGACAGTTCTAGACTGCCTACCACCATACTCCTTATGACATAAGAAAACTAAAACCCTTTACTGTTAGCCACTTTAGGTGAGTTTTTGTTAAAATCAGCAGAACATACTCCCTACCTGTAAACAGTCATATACCCACCTCTCTAAATGCCACATTCAACAAACTTCAAGTCCAGTGATACTGGCAGGAAGACAGTCTCTTCTTCAGTACAGCATTGATTTATGTGGCAGAAAGGATGCTATATGTTCACCAAGTCCTGTTTTCCTAAACTCCTGGGCTTCCAGCTTTCCCCAGATATGGCTATAATGGCTGAGTTCTAGCCAATGGAAAAGAGAAGGAAGTTATGTATGCTATTTTCAGGTTTGATGCATAAAACCCTTCCCCCAGATTCACCACACTAGTTTATTTCCCATCTTCCAGCTGATTGTGTAGGAAGAAAACTTCTGGAAAGCAACAGAACCATGCAAAAGGAGAAGCCTAGGTCCCTGAACTATGAAGCAGAGCTCTGCAACAGCTGGAACTGGATAGGGATACACACAAGAAGAAATGTTTAGTATGTTAAGCAAGCAGCATTTTGAGGTTGCTGTTACAGTAGCCAGCCTACTACAAATATAGCTCTAGGACCCTCTCCAAAGTGCAGGGCCAGCACTGCTGGGGGTATGCATGATGATCCCCTGGGGTACAGGGAGAAAATACCGCAACTTCTACTTAACTGCATTTTTGACTGATTTAACTAATTTTTGACTATGTAGTAATGCACATATTAATAAAGTACTACATGTATATAACAAGTAAATATATTGAAGGCATGCACAAAAACATTTTTTACTAATGAAATATACAATTCTAAAAAATAATGGATCTCATACTAGAGTAGGGTTTTTTAGATATTTTTAAGCCACAAAACTCATTCTTCAAATGAGAATTTCCATATAAGGTGAATACAGAAAACAGGTGATGGTAGTACTTCTCTGGTCAATGAAGGTGGGGAAGCCCAAAGCCCCACTCATCTCTTCCCCAACCCATACGGAATGGGGATACATGGGGAAAGGAGAGGCTCAGTATTGAAGTTCTGCATGAGATTTTGATCAAAAAGGAGATACATTGCTTATTTTTTAAAAATCACACTTTATAGAATCTGTGGAGCAAAACAATGTTGACAACATTCTGAAGATCCTTACAGTTGATATATCTCTAGTCTCCTTTCTCTTGGCTTTAATTTTCCAAAGTGCTCTCTATATACAACTTTACTACTTCATGGAATGTTTTTTTCTGATGTTTTACTAGTAAACATCTTCAAATGTTCTATGAAAAAGCAAGAAATTTATATAATTTTTCATCTTAAAAAAGGCATGGGCCTAATATCACATTCAACATTTGTGGACCGTTTAAACTGAGACTCATTCTGCATCTTTGATTTTAAGTTTTGGTAGTCTGCCGCATGTTCAGGGAGCAGGGAAAAGTGATTAGTTTTATAAGACTGAAGATGGCAATGCACACAGTTCAGAACAGATCCTCAGCACCCAACTAAAATGTCATCTACCATTTACAAGGAGTTATGTCCACTTTGAGCAGCCTCCTAGGCTAATTGATTATTCTAAGGTCTTGGTTTTGAAATGCTGAGCTTCTGGAACCAGGGGACATTGCAGTAGGATAGCCAATCCTCTGCCACAGCAGCAAACAAGAGCATACCCAGGTGTAAGTAGGAATGGGCTCCCATGGAAAGCCCTTGGATATAGCCAAAACAGATTGCCAAGGCTCGGTTCTCAGAGCTGTGACCTGTTTTTATGGAAAGCATGAGTAAATATAGCCATCAAGTCTCTGATATCCTGGAAACTTTCTGCAATTCATCTCTCCTCCTCAACCTCAAACTCCATTCTAAGAACATGCTCCAGAGTGGTTAGTGAGAAGAAAGGCTGTTGTCTGGTCGCTTTTCCTGATAATGATCATTTTATCAAGAGCTATGAGCGAACCTTCCTTCAGTATTGTAGATTAGGCATAGACTCTGCTTTCAAGGGGTTTCCAATATAAGGAGAAGATGCCAAAGATGTTACTAACAAGATATGCCAGGATTACCTAAGTTGAGACCATAGAAATGGTGTTCAGTATGTGTATGGTTTATATTTACAGACCTACACAGAAGCTGAGGTCGGGGTAAGAGCAGTATAGCTCATTATTAAAAACCTAGGCTTGGAAGCCAACTGGTTGAATTCAAATCCTGGATCTGCCACCAACTAGCTGTAACCTTGAGCTAGTCACTTCACATCCCTGACACTTGCTTTCCAAACTATGAAATGTGACTGATAACTTTTACCTCTTTAGGTTTTTGGAGATTTTATGAGCCGATACATGTAAGATGTTTATAAAAGTATCTGGAAGGTTGTAAGCATTCATAAATATTGATTGGGGTCATGGTCGTTTTTGCCATTATTTGAGTAGTTCTCTGGAGACAGAGGTCAGAAAGCCTTCAATAGATTCCTTCTGGATCAAGGGGAAGTCTGCTGGGAGCATCTACCAACTAGTTCTGCTTTCTGTTGTGCCCAGGATTTCTTGTTCTTCTGCAGGGAGCCTTGTAAGTCATCTCCCTTCTCCCCTCCAACAAGCCTGATCGCTTCCCCATTTCTCTCTTTTAAGCTAACACCTACATCATTTGAGTTTAGTACCTTAAAATTCCATTTTATAATTGCTGATGTTATGAAACTAAAGACATAGAAGGTTTAGTATTTTGCCTCAGGAAAAAGTTAATACACTTTAGCAGTGCTTTCAAATAAATTTTGAGTGAATGAATAAAATTACTTTTTACCATTTTTATGGAATTATTTTTTAAACTACTTTGCACCTCAGTTTGATCATCTTAAGGCAGAGCTGGGGGTAAGGCGCATCACGGAGTAATTATGAAAATTAAGTGAAATGATGCATGTGGAAGCTCCTAGCACAGTAGCTAGTAAACCTGATGCCGGGTAAGTTATAAACGTGTAAAAACTGTTTCATTCTTTTAAATAAGCTGGTAATATTATTGTGTCTTCTCTGATAGATTGTAAGCTCCCTGAGGGCAGAAACTGTCTCTACTATTCAGCACTGTGTCTCCAGGCCTAGCAGGGTACCTATCACATAGAAGACACTCAACAACTATTTGTTGAGTGAATGAACCGTTGAGTGGCTTCCTGGTGTCCCACAGTTTATCAATGGAAGATCCAGAACCAGAACCAGAACCTGAGCCAAGAGCTTTTTCCACTATGTTCTATGACTCTTTACTAATTCAGCTTTTACAAAATTTTAATCACTTTGCTATGCCTGGAGTTCCTAGCATATGCTTTGTACATACAATGAACTCAACGTTTTATTAAATGATTAAATAAGTGAAAGGACTAAACGGGAAATAAGGCCAAAAAGGATTAGGCAGAGAACCACAGAATCTAGAGCCTGGAATTGGAAGAGATCTAAAAGGTTCTGGGTCGGAAGCGCAGCCCTTTCCTAACACATGAATTCTCCCCATACCATCACAACTAGTAGTTGCCCGGCTTCCTCCTAAGCCATCTCCAGCAATGGAAATAGTGGAGGAGAACCTGGACAGAGCAAAGAAGAAGAGAGCTTCAACAATCTGTAGGTTTGGGATGAAAAGGCTACAGAATGCAGTGACTAAGGGGATTAGTGACATTCATGTGGGCTTTAGTTGGGGGTTGTGGTAAGGATTAAGGAATTAGGGGAAAGCAAGGTGGCAAAGGCAGCAAGTAGACATTACTCTTTCAAAATGTTTTACGGAAGAGTAGTATAACAAAAATGTAATTAATTAGCAAGAAATAATTCCTTAATGTTAACTAAAGTATTTTCAGGCTGCTGAAACTTCTACTTTCCTTTCCTCCCTACCTCCATTCACCCCAGGTCTCCTACTTCTGCTCATTCTTTCTCAGGGGCTGGTAGCAAACAGTGATCCTTCTCAGGAACATCTCAACTTAAACAGAAAGCTCAAGAAGAGACTTTTAAGACTCAGATTATTTCCAAGTGTTGTGCTTGTGTGGTTTGGTTCTTATTTTTACCCTTTTTCAATTGCACAAAAGATCTGTGAAGGTTTACAGAGATGTTTAGATATGCAAATGTTCAAGATGTTCAAAATAAAATAAAAGAGAGCAGATGAGAAAATCTAGATGAAGGGTGTATATATATATATATATATATATATATATATATATATATATATATATATATATATACATATGAGCAGGATGCTAAAATAGAACAAGAGGTATAGCTCTTTCATAGAAATGCATGTTAACAGATTCTACAGGTGGCCTGAGGTGGAATGTTAACTCAACTTCAAAATGGCAACAGTGCAAAGGGTAACAGACTAACTTAAGAGATCCACAATCTTCTTGAACTGAAAATACAGCCACTGCTGAGGAGAAGATTAAATTTCTTCCAAAGATCTTTTAAAAAGAGACAGTGTTGGAGAAAGTGAACAAAGACTTCCATATATCCCTGAACCAGATACCAGTGAGAATTTTGAAAGATTATTTTTCTTCTTTGTCTTCCTCTTCTTTTTCCTCTTATTCTTCCTCTTGTTCCTCTTCTCCTTCTCCTTCTTCTCTTTTTTTGAGACAGAGTCTTTCTCTGTTGTCCAGGCTGGAGTGCAGTGGCACTAACATGGCTTACTACAACCTGACCTCCCAGGCTCAAGGGTTCCTCCAATCTCAGCCTCCTGAGTAGCTGGGACCACAGTTGTGCCCCACCCATGCCCAGTATTTATTTATTTTTAATTATTATACTTGAAGTTCTGGGGTACATGTGCAGAACATGCAGGTTTGTTACATAGTTATACACATGCCATGGTGGTTTGCTGCACCCATCAACCCATCATCTACATTAGGTATTTCTCCTAATGCTATCCCTCCCCTAGCCCTCCCATCCCTGACAGGCCCCAGTGTGTGATACCCATGCCCCCTGCCCCAAGCAGTGTCCATGTGTTCTCATTGTTCAGCTCCCACTTATGAGTGAGAACATGTGGTGTTTGGTTTTCTGTTTTTGTGTTAGTTTGCTGAGAATGCCGGCTATTTTTTAAAAAAAACATTTTTTTAGAGATGGGTCTCCCTATGTTTCCCAGACTAAAATTACCTCTTGTAGGATCCCCAAATACAAGACAATTGCATGAGACAAACATCAGTTGCAGAAAAATTGATTCTGGAAGAACTAAACAAGACAAAGAGCTAGCTATGTTGGTCAGACAAAAGGCAAATGAAGTATATTTCACCATGGCTTCCAGTTGCTCCTAATCTTCCTCACTAGAATGAGTAAGACAGAAGGCAAATTTTACTATCTGTGGCAGAGAAAGTGTTACGTGTTCACTACAACTTACACTCTTTCTGGGTGCACAGCTAGGCTCCCAGCCTTCCCTGAAGTTAGTTGAGGCTCCCAAACCAAATTTTGACCCATGGAAATTGGGCAGAAATTAGATATACCACTTGTAGGACTTGCCTCTAAATTAGCCCATGCAATCCTCCATTCTCTCACCTTTTTCACCATCCATGTGTTAATGGGGGTGGGGGTGTTGAAGGGATGAGGCCTTGCCTAGAAGATGACAGAGCCATGGAAGAGAGGAAGCCTGTCTCTATTCCTTCACAAATCCAAAACGGAGAGTGGACAAGAAATAAACTTTTATTATATGAAACCACTGAGATTTGGGGATTGCTTGTCAACAAGCAACTTTCCTACTCAAACTAATACACTACCTCAAGAAGGTGGTTGAAAAGCCCTTTCTAGATAGGGTGAACCATATTATGTGCTTTCTAGTTAAGGGACTAGAAATATGGAAAATGTTGAAGTACTACTTGAGCTAACTATTCCAGATTTGATGTGCTATTTTTAAAGCATGAATTACACACTAACCCTTCCTCACTAGCCCCGGGGGCAGGGGGGCAGGAAACCTGACTACTAAAATTTGCATGATTTTACTGACAAATGTCTTCAGCTTTATTTGAGCTTCCGGAGCAGATCAAGAGAAATAGAAGAGAGGAAATGGTAAAGCTAAGAGAAGGGGGTATTGTTTTGGCAGTTTGGAAACCAGGAGCAGCTTTGAAGTCTCAGGCTTCTTGTGGCAGATGCGCAGAGCACTCCAGAGCAGAGGCTGTGGCTCTCCAGCTTACGAGTTCCATTTTCATTAGGTTGAGAGTGCAAAGGGAGTTCCGAATTTCGCCCAAAGAGACCACTTAAAACCTTTTAGGGCTGGGTGCAGTGGCTCACATCTGTAATCCCAGCACTTTGAGAGGCCGAGGGGGGGTGGATCACTGGAGGTCAGGAGTTCGAGACCAGCCTGGCCAACATGGCGAAACCCCTTCTCTACTAAAAATACAAAAATTAGCCAGGCATGGTGGTGCATGCCTGTAGTCCCAGCTATGAGGGGGGCTGAGGCAGGAGGATCGCTTGAACCTGGGAGACAGAGGTTGCAGTGAGCTGAGATCATGCCACTGCACTCCAGCCTGGGCAACATAGCAAGACTACGTCTCAGAAAAAAAAAAAAACATTTAGAAACAAGAAGTCTTGTGTGAAATTAAACCTATGTCACTGATAAGTGTGAGATACAAAAGATTATTCATACACCAAAGGAACTTAGAAAATACAGTGCACTGTTCCTATGGGAAGATTGCCTAGACACCCAGTGCATGCAGACAATGCGAGGTCAGCTTCCATCCTTCCTCAACTCAGAAAAATCAGGTCAGCAAATTAGCAAGTGCCAATTTTACACTAAATTACCAGAAATTACCTCTGGCTAATTTCTTCTTTTGCTTCAGGGTGGGGAGAAAGAGAAGAAAATAATAACAAAATCACCCTTGGCAGCCAAGTACAGAGCTGAAAGGAATAATCCACTAGAACTGTTCTTTGACTTTCTATTGTCTGATGTTCTCGAATATTTGCATCTGTTCTTAAACGATCACTGCCTCCTCATTTTTCAATGTATAAAAAGAAATGTTTTGGGGTCTTTCCCTCTTATTATGATATCATTCATCTTATTCAGTATTTTAGGCTCCATAGAGTTTGCACAATTTATATGGTCAGAGATCATGGAGTAAGCAGTAGTTAATTAGAGTTATGAGTCTTCCATCACTAAATGCTTTCTCCACTCTGCCTCGGCACTTGCCTGCCCCAGCATCTGACAGGTACTGATGATGTAATTACTATCTCAGCCTGTTACACTAAGGTGCCAAGAATATCACTTCCCATTGTAGGTGTTGTAAGGGCAGAGCTATCTTTGAACTCAGTATTGCTTATTAAACGAACATAAAGCAACTCAAAGGACAATAAAAAGCAATTCTTTAAATGGAATGTCCCTGTAAGAATATTCATTTGCTTCTCTGTGACAGACGCTGTCACAAGGCTCATATGTAACTTCTCTTTCTTTTCCTCCTCCTAAATACATTTGCTGTCCTGATGATAAATCTACAGTCTACGCTGAGCAAAAGAAAAACGGCCAGGCCTTTTGTGTACGCCAAGGCTGCAGGTCACATCTATCATCCTCTTGCTTCTGTTTTTCTTTTAATTATCTCACTTAAGTCAGAAACTTGACTTCAAATCATAAACCTAAGGAGAAACTAGATTTTAATTTACAGAAGCACAGCTAAATATTTTTATTCTAAGACTATACTTCACAATAAAGGTGGGAGCCCCAGGGCTCTTTAAACCAAATGGCAACCATAAACATTTTTCTTCATGGCATGGTTTTTCACTTCAAATCAAACCTGAGTTCACCTACAGCCCATCAACCAAAAAGTTATTATAAGATTACATTCCCCTTTTCCAACATGTCACCCAGCACAGAGCAGCCCAAATTAATCACACATTACAGAGAAATTTTCTTAAATGTACTGTTTCTTTGGGAACTTCTGAAGTTGATTTAGGCCTCTAGTTGGGGCTAGTTGACCATGTCAGAGGCTGGTAGTCTCTACTCCATTGGGAAAACACCTTCTCTTTCCATTTCTTTCCATTTTTCTCCAGGTCTGCTGGTCCCACTCAAAGAAACTAAGGAAGCTAGTAATCTGGGCTACATTAAAATTGTTCAAACAAGCTCACTGATTCATTAAACATAAGGACTGCCCTGAGGACCCCAGTTTGTGTCTCCCATAGCTGAGTAGTTCCTGCTCCCCAAAGCCCCCAACGAAACGGTGTGCGAGGCTACGGTCAGCATCCAGGTCTGTCACACTGCAGGGGCGATTTCACACCAAGAGAACTAATGGCCTCAGGATCAGAGACAGGGAGGCTACTGTTAACATGCTTCAGCCTCTGTCTAGCAGCCTTTGTCAGAGATATTAAGGTTCTTTCCAAAGGGATGTATTAGTTCTATATGTCCAAAGGTCTAGGTTAAGTGCTTTCCTTTTATTTATTTTCTTTCAAGGAAAATAAAAAGACTACAACTTCCAACAAGAAAGGTTGAGTTTGTGTTTCAAGAAAACTGATTGAATGTACTCAAATATGGCATTGTTGTTGCTGATGTCTAAGAAGTTGAAAAAAAAATCCAATTTTATGGGTCAGGATAGGTGGCACAGTGAGGCAGAAAAATAAACAAATGGCAGAAATCTCTGGGGTTTCTTGACTCAAATTTTAGAGATGGAAGGAGCTAACGAGATCCTTAAATCCAAGCACTTACTTGGTCATATCAGCCAGAGACTTGCTCACAAGCATGTGGCAGAATGAGGGCAAGACCCAAGGGCTGTCCTCATATCATGAGGATTTATTGAGTGCCTATGGCATACAGTGTGCCATACAAGAGGCTATTTGGTCACGGACAAACTTTTCCAGAAAAGTCAGCATCATAAATGGAACCCATTGCAGCATTTCTCAAAATGGACTGGTTATATGATTAGCTTTCAGACAATTGCGGGGAAAAAAAAACCCAAGACACAATGTCACATTACATCAAAAATTATGTTATTTAAGTATGTATAAATGTAAAACTAAACCCATATGCTTATTGCTCTTTTAAGCAAGCATCACACTAAAACAAATTTTAAAATTAAATGCAAATAAAACTACAAAACCAGTAAAATCCAACTAATAGTATTACTTTAATGTGACCAATTTATGTGCTCTTGCTGAAACTGAATCACCTCTGGGAATGTGAATGCAGTGCTGACTGCTAAGGTGCAGGTTCTTTGGGGTCAAGCAGATGCATTCCACCATGTGAGGGGTGATGTCATTTGGCCCCTCCTGGTCTTTCTCCTTAGAATAGGAAGTTGTGATCATTTGGCGCCCACAGGAGCAGAATGCAAGCCCAGTATTCAGTTACAGGATGGTCCAGAAGATGCTCAGATTAGCTGCAGACTATCATCAGAACAAAAGCCCTAACCTTCAAGATTCTCCCAGAACACACATGTAACCCCAAGAATATAGCCCCAGATCAGTTTGAGAAATACCGGTCAACTTATTATTTCAAGTTTTTTTTTCATCATTTTCAATTTAAAATCATATAATCAAAGAGAAGAGAGCTAGTTCAAATACAAGTATGTTCAATATGATATGACTCAAGACAAAAGAGTTTTTACTGGATAGTTTTGTATCACTTCAAATTAGAAAATCATTTCGATACTGGAACTTCTTTGTCTACAACAAATGTTTTTCATCCATTTCCTGGTAAAAGATTAGAAGACACCCTCTGTATTCATAAAGGTTTTGTTCTAGAGCTTTCTGAGAATATTAAAATTATAAATGTACATCAAAACTGTGTGACAGTTACATAAAACGTGGGAGCATCAGCAGCAGGAGGCCTGCAGCCAGAGAAGTGAGGCCCAGGGCAAACATCTGAAACTATTACTTGCAAAGCCACACCAATAAGGTTTGCTGAAAGCCTCTTCTGTTATCATAAAGGATCTAGTCATATTCAGGTCATTTTCTTTTCGTCTCTATTGTCCACAATGTTGCACTAAAGTCCCTTTAACCACAATTTCAGACTGGATTTTGTTTTGTTTGCTTTTGTTTTTTAAGCATAATGGATCTCAACTTGATGCAGCAGGTGGAGAGAAGGACATGTTTATTGTTAAACATCCCCGATTCTCAGATTCAGAATCCTTGGGCCCGTTTATGCCAGATGCAGAACAGCTTGTGTCTGTTAGAAATTCAATTGAGTAATCATCCATGGAGTACCCTGTCTGCCAGGTACTGCGCTGGGTGCTGGGGATACAGTGATGAATAAGAAAGACGGCCCCTCCTAACAGTCACGGTCTACACAAGGAGACTGGTCCTGTAAACAACTATCATGGCAGGGCGTGTAAGGCCACAGAATAATCAAGTAAAAGGTGAAGAAGGAGCATTAAAGAGGAACAAATCATTGTGTCTGGGTTGGACATGAAGAAAGCCTTCCTGTAGGAAATGACATTATTTAAATAAATGAAAAGGAGTTTGCTGGAAGGAAGACCAAGTGGGGAAAGATGCAGAGGAAACAGATGCAAAGGTACAAAGTATAAAAAAGTATCAGGTGTTGATGATGCTGATGATAATCATAATAGCTAACCTTCACTGAGTGGTTCTGTGTGCCAGGCACTGTGCTAAAAATAAGCACTTTGGGACTGTTTCATTCAATCTTCACAAGAGATTCATCCCCATTTTATTGATAAGAAATGTAAACCTTAGATAAATTAATCTGCCCAAGATCCTATAGCTATTAAGCCACAGAGTTCAGGCCAAACCAGGAATGAGGTTTTTGAAGCCTACATTGTCCACCTCTCCACTCTAGTGTTCAAAAAGCTATAGAAAGCTATAAATAGTCTGATATTGCTAAAGCATGAAGTTGAAGGCAGAGAGAAAAAACACATCTGATTGCTAAAATACTACATTTTTATCAACACTGATCTGTGTGACTATTAAATATAGTAAAACCTCCAATGTCACAAAAGTTAGGAGTGATGCTCCATACGCAAACCACACGTTAGTGTATATAGGTATTAGTGACCCTTGCTGTACCAATCCCTGATTTCACCCTTGTCAGAACAGGTAGGACTTTTTGTGTTTATTTATCGTTTTAAATACTGAAGTGGAACATCTTAAGATGTTCACCTGTAAATAAATTCACAAATCAGACAAAATCCTTTTGCAGTCCATGTGTCCCAATCCCATGTTTGGAAATCACAACACACACAGAGGCATTTGAATGTGAAGGTGCAGGACACACACACACACACCCACACACCCACACCAAAGAAAATCCCAAGGCTGTCTCTAGAAACCAGTAAAGATGATGATTATTTCTTGCTAGACAAGCGGAGCATTTAATTGGCAAAGCAAAACAAAATGACAACTGGTTTTTTTTTTTTTTTTTTTAGTTAATACAAGTAAGGCTACTCTACAGCCTTATGTGCTTTCTTAACTTTTGAGAAATTTTGTTTGCTGTTTTTTTAAATGTGGCTATTTGTGAGTTAAAATGCAGTTGTCTCCCAAGTCAAGAGAATGTGAGATCATTAACTTAAGGCTCCTTAAGGCTCCAAGTAACTCTTGTGGGCTGTGTGATCATTTCTTTATAAATGTCTTGCCCTCAAGTAAGCCTGACAGAAAGGTGGATTTACATATTCAAATTACCACAGTTGGAGAAAGGTCTTTTATGGGAACTAATACCTTCTTCACTGCAAAAGGAAAACCATAACAAAACAGCACACATGGAAACAACTTTCCATCAACCTACTCAGTAAGTACTGGGTGCAAGATTTATTCAACCTGGGTTCCACTCAGCTCAAGCTGCCATAAGCCTGGAGATCTCATGTCTAGAGCTTTCAGTTCAGGGCTTGTCATTGGTAAATTGAGAGCAATTATACCTACCTCTATATGTTGTTAGAAGAATTAAATTAGATAATGTGTTTAAAGTGTCTAGTACAGTCCTGGGACCCAGGAGGCATTTGATGCTGGTTGGCCCCATCCTCTTTCCCACACAAAACCCACTCCCTCCTCTACCATCTGGTCATGAGTGCCATTTTATATTACAGTAGTTTCCTAGACAGCTGAAGACAAAAATAAAAACAACAAAGCACAAGGAGTTGATGGTATAATCTTTTGATGTTTTTGGTGATTTCAAATAGTTGCTACTGTGACCAAGTGGTAGGCATATGAAAGTATCAAGATGATGGGAATTTACTGCTGTGCCCAGTCTTGGGGGATGAAATTTACCAATAAATTATTGCTGCAGAGTTTCACAGCTAATACAGGTATGTGAATCATTACATTAGTTTCACAGCTAATACATCTATGCAAATAACTGAGAATCTTTTTCTTAAGAGAGGCTCAATGTAAGTAACTGATAGAGTATAAGGTATTTTTACAAACAAACCAAAAATAATTGTTTCTTTTCTTTTCTCATCACCTATTTTATGTAAGGAAGACGAAACTCCCCTTTGATCCAAGAAATTAAATACCTAAGATGACAAAACACTGCCTTTACTTTTGAATAAGTGGAAACTAGTATAGATTTAAGCTTTTATCTCTTTTAGTGTTGATGCTATCTTTATTTGCTGAGATAAGAAAATATTCCAGTTTATAAGGAACGAATGATTAACAAAATAAATGCAAATGAAGTAACTAATTTTAACCAGATCTTCAGTGTCATTATTGCTGACATAAAAGGAGAGCTGGGAAATTTAATTGCAATTTGTCAATATTTACAATCTCTAAATAAAATAGCAATCACAGTGGTAGCTTCTTGGGACCTCTGGCAGGCCACTTACATTGTGCAAATTCTCTTTTCACTAACCTGAACTAGGGAGTAATATCCTCTCTGCCAACCCTATATTAAAGTTCTTTTCATGCCCATTGGTCATTTTCTAGAATTTTTTTTCTTTTTTTTTTTTTTTTTTTGGAAAACCATAGGTGCAACATGCACAATCTCAATTCGCACAGCTAGGGTAAGGAAGCCTGCAAGCAGGAGCAGAGCGTGGCAGTGAGTTCTTCAGGGGAGAAGCTGCCTGTTATGCCTGTCTGTCCCCAATGCTCAACTTGTCCAGGACATCCAGTGAACGAATAAAGACAATCTTGTTGGTTAGAAAGCTCAGGCGTTGGGTGCTCATGTCCCCCACTTACTAGATGCTTGATTTTTGGTAATGTGCTAACCCTCTCTGTACGTCAGTTTCTTCATCCATAAAATGGAGTACCAACTGAACTTAGCTCATTGGTTGCCCTTAGGATTAGTTAATAAATGTAAAGCACTTAGAGCAATGCCTGGCAAATGGCAAATGCTAAATAAATTATTATTAATAGTATTATCAGACTCAGCCACACCGTTCTTAAATGAATTGGACAGAAGCTTCATTATCTGGTAGATTGTCACTTCTCAGAAAATAAATTTAAAGGCTTTAAGCCCCTTAAGCAGTTAGGTAGCATCTCAGTCGCCTTGGGGTCATATAACAAAATACTATAAACTGGATAGCTGATAAAAAAATTATTTTTCACAGTTTTGGAAAGGGAAAGTCCAAGATTAAGGTGCCAGCACATTTGCTGTCTGGTGAGGTCAACCTCCTGGTTACTGGAAAGTATCTTCTAGCTGTGTCCACAAATGGCAAAAGGGACTAGCTAGCTCTCTGGGGTCTTTTTTATAAGGTCACTAAGCCTATTCATAAGGGCCCTGCCCTTACCATTTAATCACTTTTCTGAAGGCCCTACCTCCTAATACTACAGCCTTGGGAGTTAGGATTTTTAACTTATGAAGTTTGGGGTAGAGGAGACACAAAAATTTAAACCACAGCAGGTAGGGCAGATAAAGGAATGAGAGTTTTACTTGAGAAAGAAAGGACACTTTGAATATGAATAACAACTCTAAGAAAAAAAAGTAGGGGTCATAATTTGCAGAACAACAGAATATTTGACTTCACAAAAGTAATCCTATCTGTACAGTCAAAGTAATAGGACCTGTGGCTCCTATAAAGCAGACTTGATTTATAAAATTATAAACAGCAAATGAAAAAGCATATACATTAGCTTTAAGTAAACTATTTTCTGTGAAATAGAATAGTTCTGTGAGCCATTAACAAATTATCAAACCCAAAGAAGGGGTCACGGGAACCCCAATTCATAGCTGGTCAGTCAGAAATATGGGTGGCCTAAACTTGTGATTGGTGTCTAAAATGGGGGCAGTCTTATGGAAGTGAGCCCCTAACTTGTGGGGTATGACACTAACTCTACGTAGATAGTGTTATAATTGAATTTAATTGTAGGACACCTAGTTAGTGTCTGGAGAATTACAGGCTTGTTGGTGTAAGGAAAAACCCCAAACATTTGGTGTTCAGTGGGTGAAATAAAGATTCTAATAGTAGTAAATATCTCTCTCTCTCCCCGCTTCCCCCACCCCACTCCACCCTCCTACCTCAATGGCCATTCCTTCAATCTCTCTTGCTGGTTGCTCCTCAAATTCCTGACTAAGTGGTGAGGTATTCTGAGGCTAAGCCCTCCACTCTCTTCTCTAGCTTCCCTCACTCCTTGAATGATCTTCTCCAAGGGTCTGGCTTTAGCACCATCTTTATACAGACAACTCTCATGTTTATATCTCAAGATCTAACCTCTCCTCTGAGCCCTGGGCTATTATTCTAACTTCCTACTTGACAAGGTCTCTGAATGTCTAGCAGATATCTCAAACCAAGCATGTCCAAAACAGAGCTCCCAGCCTTCCACTTGAAACCTGCTCCATTGTAAGCCTTTCCCTCTCATTCCCCTGTAGTCAATTCACCTTAGTTCCTTTCTCTCACCTCCCCAATTCCATTCTCCTCTTCTCCTACATACACACATTCCATGAACTAGCAAATGTTATTTGCTCTACTTCTGAAATGTATCCAGATCTGACAACTTCTCACCATTCTTACAGCCACAACTTCAGGCTGTTGAAATAATCTCCTAATTGGTCACTCTCCTTCTACTCTTTTTTCCCTTATCAGCCAAACTGATCTTTTTGAAAACATAGATCACATAACTCCCTGGCTTAAAAACCTTCAGATGGCTTCCTGCTACACTTACGATGATATCCAAAGTCCTCATCATGTCCTATACGGCTGCGTGTGATGTATCTATCTATCTGTCCACTTTATCTCCTCTACTCCCACATGTGTTCACCAAGCTGCAATCTCAGGGGCCTCTTTGTTCTTCCTTATACCACCAGACGTGTTTTCCCACCCTCCACCCCAGCCCCAGTGTTTTCTCTGGATCACTCTTGCCTTGGATTTTTTCATGGCTGGCTCCTCCTCATTCACATCTTTATTCAAATGTCCTGACCAAACAGTCTAAATATCCACTACCAGCAGAGGCTCACTCTCAAGCCTCTTAACATCATCCACAACTCTACCTTTACTTACTCCTTGTCTCCCCCCATGAGAGTGTAAGCTCCACTGAGACAGAGATTTTGCTGGTTACCCCTACCATTGTGTCCTGAGATAGTACCCAGGATGTAGTAGATGCTCAATAAAATTGTCTTAATGAATTAGTCTGTTATCTTCCCCGTCAGCCTACAGCTCCAGAAGAGGTGGACAAAGCAATGGTAGATATCCACAGGTAGGAGGGTGGTAATTGTAACAAATTCATCCATGAGAAAAAGCCATACTTGAGTCCCCAAAGGCTTCTGAGTCTAAAATATGACCATACAGAGTCAGATAAACATGTGTTCAAATCCCAACTCCATAACTTATATATATGTGACTTTAACAATTTATTTTATCTTTCAGAGCTTCAGTTTCCTTCTCAGTAACATGGAAATGCTATTACTTACTGGTTGTGTCATTGGGTGCACTAAGAACTTCTTGGATTCAGTGGCCATGTCTTGATTTCATTCACACATTTGTTTATTCAATCAACAAAACATTTTTATCGAATATCTACTATGTTCCAGACATTGGGCTAATTACTGAGAAGTGAACCATTCAACCCGGAGGAAGGCAGACATGAGCCAGGCACTTGGGAGCTTATTGACTAGTACAGCATTATAACAATGTGTGACCTTGGTTTCAATAAGGAAAGTACAGGGTATAATAAGCACAGAACAGACGGTTAAACATATTCTGAAGGGAAGATCAGAAAAGGTTTCCTGAATTAAATTACATTTAAAGAGAAATCTAAGGATGTATAATAATAAGTGCTACTTAGGTGGTGCTCACAAGGGCAAACAGGAGTTGCAAAGATCTTCTACTTCTTTAGAGGAATGCAGAGAAGACATTCCATGGCTAGAATGGCACGGTGTGGAAAAATGGCGGGCGAGGAGGCCACTAAGGTGGGCAGGAGCTCCAGGAGAACAGGTAAATAATGCATGGGGGATTTATTCCAAAGCAACTATGCAGTAGTAGAAGTAATGAACTGGCTATACATACATGAATAGATATTTAAAATGTATTAAAGGGAAAAGGTAAGAAAGAATAAGAACTATAGCACATTAACACATACAATTACACTTACACACAGTGACTATGTATTTTATAAAGAATCACACATCACTGTACTCATACTGAACACATTCTAGTGGGTGATTTGGGGAAGAGGGATGAGTGTTATCATTAGGAGCTAAGAAGAAAATAAACTCACAAGAGAGGGACCTTGCATGGACTGTCAGTGAAAGTGTACAAAGAACTAAGGAGTGGGTTAGCTCACTTCTAAATCCAGGTCCCAAGAGAAGGAACAACAAGAGGGCTGAAGTGGGAGAAGGCCAGAGACTGGATCACCAGCAGTCCTAGGAAAGAATATTTATGGGACATTTGGGGAAGAGTAAATGGCCCTTTATGGCTTGATATCCCCATGAGGCCACAGCCCATATCTGCTTTGCTCATTTCTAAACTATCCACTCCCCATCAACCAGCCCTGCTGAGGCCTATAGGCCAAGAAGCACAGAGACTGGATGAAGGCTCTCTCTGCCTCACTAGATGGGGCCCCAAAAATGAAATGAAGCAAAGAAATCCACATAGGTGTATGCAATTTGAATATACATTAAATTAAACCAATGCAGTATTTCCATTTCAAAACGGAAAACTACAACTACCTAGCATTATTACTTCTCAAAACAATGTACCTATTCCAGATTTAAGCTTCAGCAGTTGCTGGGCATTTAAAGTGTTCCTTTCTGATATAAAGAGGAGAGTGCTGCTTCTGTCCCAGCAAACCAGCAACTTAGATGTGAAACACCATGGACAAGTGGGTGATTAAATGTCAGCACTGGAATGATTCCTGGAAAGTTTCTATGAGAAATATCCACATTATGGAATTTTAGACTTAGTCCAGAAAAGGAAAATACAAAACTTGTTCCATAAATATTTTATTTCAAAATGGTGAGCTTTAGTTTGGGCTTTTTGTCCTAAATTGTCCTGTAAAACATGTTTGCTCTTTAGATGAGCAGAATGTCGATCCTAAAATACCCTTAATTCAAGCCATAAGTTATGACAACTCCATTTTGTGTTTAATTTAGTCACCAAGTACCTCAAGAGTGGAGTATGACATATCTCAGGAAGCTTTATAAATGTCTATCAAATCATATGACAGTGCCTAAAAGGGGAAAGCATAAGTCAAGTCAATTTACCTACAAAAGAAGTAATTCTCCAGGTTTTTAAAATGTAAAAGACAGGAAAACCACGTATTTCCTGCAAATATACAAATATTGTGTATACGTTTTACAACTGAGAGGACATTTAATAACATTAAACATTACGTTTATACTAATTTGTAAAAAATCTTCAGGTGAAATCTTTGTGAATGAAAGTGGATAATTTTCCATGATGTGAATCAGAGACATAACTGAAATATACCATTAATTCACAATAGACAGACCTATGTAGAAATAAATGAAAAGCCTAGTGCTAGAGGCTAGTGTAAGATACAGAGATGCTTGAAAATGCACTTTGATTTGAAGCAAAAATGTGTAGAGGAAGGCCTGTGGAAATGGCAAATCATTTTATGTAGCTTTTATATCAATGAAGTTAGATCAATACAGGATGATCATATCAAGAATAAAATCTACCACCCCTGGTTCATCTGAGTGGGGAAGTTGGAGATCCCCTCACTCAAGGCAAAAATGTCAGAAGTCACCAGGAATTTTAATTCCTCATACAAAATGAAGAGAAGAAAGCACAATATCTATACCAACTAAAAGTTTGGGCACTAGCTACTATTCTCAGCAGTCAATTCATTAATGATGGTTCTGATTGCACATCTCCTATCAAAGCTAACTATTTATTTTTTAAAATGGTGTTGCAACTTCAAAGCCATTAGTGCCAATAAACAGTAATGTATTAGAAATGCCACAGGTGAGTATCAGTGCTCAAGAAATTCAGTTTAGCCAGCATTCACCCATGCAGACCCATGTGATTGGTATGGGACATTTCAGTAGGAAAATTACTACCTTTCCCAATCAGAGCCTAAATAGAAGCCTAATTCATGAATTAATGCTTACTCTTTCCTGTTACAGATATTAGTTGCTATTCATTTCCAAGCTTTTACCGTACCCAATCTCTGCAACTATTTTTTCCTGAAATTTTGAATAGATTTGTCTTCTATCACTCTTCTCCTTAGGTGCTTAGAAGGATAATACTATTACCAAGGTGTACTGTAAAAGTGAATACATTTTAATAGGATTATGATAACAGAATCTTTATCCAGTGACTACTGCAAAGAGAAGAGAGAAGATTTCTGCTTTCAGATTAGAGTACAGACTTTGAAATGAAAAGCAGATTATCTTATTAGCCTGACAACTGATGTACAGCACTCAAAGTCCTGTTTCTTGTTTGTAAAAGGAATCATTTTAGGTGAACATGCTTTTGACTGGCTACTAGTATGACATTCATTATAGCGAAAGAGCAAGAGAAAATACAAGGACTGCCATTCTGCACATCTCACACCAGATGTGATTACTTTTTTCTGAAGCTGAAAAGCAGTCAAACACCTCAGTAGCTAAAAATGTGCAGCTGCTGTGTGTAAATAGCAGATACATGAAATTGTATACTGAAGTATATGCTCATGGAGATTGGATAGAAATGTTTTTAATTCAACTATAAAATAATTTAATGAGTCTAGTCTTTCCGACAGTTAAGAAAAACCATGTTAACTGAGCATGAACTAAGGGCTGGGGTCTTGACATTAAGAAAGTATTGATCTCAGAAAGACTTGGGGTTGTATCTGGTGAAACCTGAACACAAAGAAGATCAGTCAGAAACACAGTAGATGGGCTTGAGTCCATGTCCAAAAAGGAGAATTGTCAAGAACAGCTAAAGCCAGTTCCTGTGAGATCACTACCCAGAGCTCTGTTGGCAAAGATGAGGTGCAGAGAAGATGTCAATGAACAAAGAAGGTTGCCGTTATAATGAAACACATGGGGATGATAGTTGATGTCCACTGAGTGGCTCTCCCCTTCCCATGAAGCAACCTTGCCTCCAACAGGACCAACCACCAGTGTTCACAGAGCACCTCAGGTACGCCAGGCTCCCTTATGCTTGATTCCATTTAAATTTTCCTCTTGGGGGAGGAGCCAAGATGGCCGAATAGGAACAGCTCCGGTCTACAGCTCCCAGCCTGAGCGACGCAGAAGACGGTGATTTCTGCATTTCCATCTGAGGTACCGGGTTCATCTCACTAGGGAGTGCCAGACAGTGGGCGCAGGCCAGTGTGTGTGCGCACCGTGCGCGAGCCGAAGCAGGGCGAGGCATTGCCTCACCTGGGAAGCGCAAGGGGTCAGGGAATTCCCTTTCCGAGTCAAAGAAAGGGGTGACGGACGCACCTGGAAAATCGGGTCACTCCCACCCGAATATTGCGCTTTTCAGACCGGCTTAAGAAACGGCGCACCACGAGACTATATCCCACACCTGGCTCGGAGGGTCCTACGCCCACGGAATCTCGCTGATTGCTAGCACAGCAGTCTGAGATCAAACTGCAAGGCGGCAACGAGGCTGGGGGAGGGGCGCCCGCCATTGCCCAGGCTTGCTTAGGTAAACAAAGCAGCCCGGAAGCTCGAACTGGGTGGAGCCCACCACAGCTCAAGGAGGCCTGCCTGCCTCTGTAGGCTCCACCTCTGGGGGCAGGGCACAGACAAACAAAAAGACAGCAGTAACCTCTGCAGACTTAAGTGTCCCTGTCTGACAGCTTTGAAGAGAGCAGTGGTTCTCCCAGCACGCAGCTGGAGATCTGAGAACGGGCAGACTGCCTCCTCAAGTGGGTCCCTGACTCCTGACCCCCGAGCAGCCTAACTGGGAGGCACCCCCCAGCAGGGGCACACTGACACCTCACACGGCAGGGTATTCCAACAGACCTGCAGCTGAGGGTCCTGTCTGTTAGAAGGAAAACTAACAAACAGAAAGGACATCTACACCGAAAACCCATCTGTACATCACCATCATCAAAGACCAAAAGTAGATAAAACCACAAAGATGGGGAAAAAACAGAACAGAAAAACTGGAAACTCTAAAACGCAGAGCGCCTCTCCTCCTCCAAAGGAACGCAGTTCCTCACCAGCAACAGAACAAAGCTGGATGGAGAATGATTTTGACGAGCTGAGAGAAGAAGGCTTCAGACGATCAAATTACTCTGAGCTACGGGAGGACATTCAAACCAAAGGCAAAGAAGTTGAAAACTTTGAAAAAAATTTAGAAGAATGTATAACTAGAATAACCAATACAGAGAAGTGCTTAAAGGAGCTGATGGAGCTGAAAACCAAGGCTCGAGAACTACGTGAAGAATGCAGAAGCCTCAGGAGCCGATGCAATCAACTGGAAGAAAAGGTATCAGCAATGGAAGATGAAATGAATGAAATGAAGCGAGAAGGGAAGTTTAGAGAAAAAAGAATAAAAAGAAATGAGCAAAGCCTCCAAGAAATATGGGACTATGTGAAAAGACCAAATCTACGTCTGATTGGTGTACCTGAAAGTGATGTGGAGAATGGAACCAAGTTGGAAAACACTCTGCAGGATATTATCCAGGAGAACTTCCCCAATCTAGCAAGGCAGGCCAACGTTCAGATTCAGGAAATACAGAGAACTCCACAAAGATACTCCTCGAGAAGAGCAACTCCAAGACACATAATTGTCAGATTCACCAAAGTTGAAATGAAGGAAAAAATGTTAAGGGCAGCCAGAGAGAAAGGTCGGGTTACCCTCAAAGGAAAGCCCATCAGACTAACAGCGGATCTCTCGGCAGAAACCCTACAAGCCAGAAGAGAGTGGGGGCCAATATTCAACATTCTTAAAGAAAAGAATTTTCAACCCAGAATTTCATATCCAGCCAAACTAAGCTTCATAAGTGAAGGAGAAATAAAATACTTTATAGACAAGCAAATGTTGAGAGATTTTGTCACCACCAGGCCTGCCCTAAAAGAGCTCCTGAAGGAAGCGCTAAACATGGAAAGGAACAACCGGTACCAGCCGCTGCAAAATCATGCCAAAATGTAAAGACCATCGAGACTAGGAAGAAACTGCATCAACTAATGAGCAAAATCACCAGCTAACATCATAATGACAGGATCAAATTCACACATAACAATATTAACTTTAAATATAAATGGACTAAATTCTGCAATTAAAAGACACAGACTGGCAAGTTGGATAAAGAGTCAAGACCCATCAGTGTGCTGTATTCAGGAAACCCATCTCACGTGCAGAGACACACATAGGCTCAAAATAAAAGGATGGAGGAAGATCTACCAAGCCAATGGAAAACAAAAAAAGGCAGGGGTTGCAATCCTAGTCTCTGATAAAACAGACTTGAAACCAACAAAGATCAAAAGAGACAAAGAAGGCCATTACATAATGGTAAAGGGATCAATTCAACAAGAGGAGCTAACTATCCTAAATATTTATGCACCCAATACAGGAGCACCCAGATTCATAAAGCAAGTCCTCAGTGACCTACAAAGAGACTTAGACTCCCACACATTAATAATGGGAGATTTTAACACCCCACTGTCAACATTAGACAGATCAACGAGACAGAAAGTCAACAAGGATACCCAGGAATTGAACTCAGCTCTGCACCAAGCGGACCTAATAGACATCTACAGAACTCTCCACCCCAAATCAACAGAATATACATTTTTTTCAGCACCACACCACACCTATTCCAAAATTGACCACATAGTTGGAAGTAAAGCTCTCCTCAGCAAATGTAAAAGAACAGAAATTATAACAAACTATCTCTCAGACCACAGTGCAATCAAACTAGAACTCAGGATTAAGAATCTCACTCAAAGCCGCTCAACTACATGGAAACTGAACAACCTGCTCCTGAATGACTACTGGGTACATAACGAAATGAAGGCAGAAATAAAGATGTTCTTTGAAACCAACGAGAACAAAGACACCACATACCAGAATCTCTGGGACGCATTCAAAGCAGTGTGTAGAGGGAAATTTATAGCACTAAATGCCTACAAGAGAAAGCAGGAAAGATCCAAAATTGACACCCTAACATCACAATTAAAAGAACTAGAAAAGCAAGAGCAAACACATTCAAAAGCTAGCAGAAGGCAAGAAATAACTAAAATCAGAGCAGAACTGAAGGAAATAGAGACACAAAAAACCCTTCAAAAAATCAATGAATCCAGGAGCTGGTTTTTTGAAAGGATCAACAAAATTGATAGACCGCTAGCAAGACTAATAAAGAAAAAAAGAGAGAAGAATCAAATAGACACAATAAAAAATGATAAAGGGGATATCACCACCGATCCCACAGAAATACAAACTACCATCAGAGAATACTACAAACACCTCTACGCAAATAAACTAGAAAATCTAGAAGAAATGGATACATTCCTTGACACATACACTCTCCCAAGACTAAACCAGGAAGAAGTTGAATCTCTGAATAGACCAATAACAGGCTCTGAAATTGTGGCAATAATCAATAGTTTACCAACCAAAAAGAGTCCAGGACCAGATGGATTCACAGCCGAATTCTACCAGAGGTACATGGAGGAACTGGTACCATTCCTTCTGAAACTATTCCAATCAATAGAAAAAGAGGGAATCCTCCCTAACTCATTTTATGAGGCCAGCATCATTCTGATACCAAAGCCGGGCAGAGACACAACCAAAAAAGAGAATTTTAGACCAATATCCTTGATGAACATTGATGCAAAAATCCTCAATAAAATACTGGCAAACCGAATCCAGCAGCACATCAAAAAGCTTATCCACCATGATCAAGTGGGCTTCATCCCTGGGATGCAAGGCTGGTTCAATATACGCAAATCAATAAATGTAATCCAGCATATAAACAGAGCCAAAGACAAAAACCACATGATTATCTCAATAGATGCAGAAAAAGCCTTTGACAAAATTCAACAACCCTTCATGCTAAAAACTCTCAATAAATTAGGTATTGATGGGACATATTTCAAAATAATAAGAGCTATCTATGACAAACCCACAGCCAATATCATACTGAATGGGCAAAAACTGGAAGCATTCCCTTTGAAAACCGGCACAAGACAGGGATGCCCTCTCTCACCACTCCTATTCAACATAGTGTTGGAAGTTCTGGCCAGGGCAATCAGGCAGGAGAAGGAAATAAAGGGTATTCAATTAGGAAAAGAGGAAGTCAAATTGTCCCTGTTTGCAGATGACATGATTGTTTATCTAGAAAACCCCATCGTCTCAGCCCAAAATCTCCTTAAGCTGATAAGCAACTTCAGCAAAGTCTCAGGATACAAAATCAATGTACAAAAATCACAAGCATTCTTATACACCAACAACAGACAAACAGAGAGCCAAATCATGGGTGAACTCCCATTCACAATTGCTTCAAAGAGAATAAAATACCTAGGAATCCAACTTACAAGGGATGTGAAGGACCTCTTCAAGGAGAACTACAAACCACTGCTCAAGGAAATAAAAGAGGAGACAAACAAATGGAAGAACATTCCATGCTCATGGGTAGGAAGAATCAATATCGTGAAAATGGCCATACTGCCCAAGGTAATTTACAGATTCAATGCCATCCCCATCAAGCTACCAATGACTTTCTTCACAGAATTGGAAAAAACTACTTTAAAGTTCATATGGAACCAAAAAAGAGCCCGCATTGCCAAGTCAATCCTAAGCCAAAAGAACAAAGCTGGAGGCATCACACTACCTGACTTCAAACTATACTACAAGGCTACAGTAACCAAAACAGCATGGTACTGGTACCAAAACAGACATATAGATCAATGGAACAGAACAGAGCCCTCAGAAATAATGCCGCATATCTACAACTATCTGATCTTTGACAAACCTGAGAAAAACAAGCAATGGGGAAAGGATTCCCTATTTAATAAATGGTGCTGGGAAAACTGGCTAGCCATATGTAGAAAGCTGAAACTGGATCCCTTCCTTACACCTTATACAAAAATCAATTCAAGATGGATTAAAGATTTAAACGTTAAACCTAAAACCATAAAAACCCTAGAAGAAAACCTAGGCATTACCATTCAGGACATAGGCGTGGGCAAGGACTTCACGTCCAAAACACCAAAAGCAATGGCAACAAAAGACAAAATTGACAAATGGGATCTAATTAAACTAAAGAGCTTCTGCACAGCAAAAGAAACTACCATCAGAGTGAACAGGCAACCTATAAAATGGGAGAAAATTTTCACAACCTACTCATCTGACAAAGGGCTAATATCCAGAATCTACAATGAACTCAAACAAATTTACAAGAAAAAAACAAACAACCCCATCAAAAAGTGGGCGAAGGACATGAACAGACACTTCTCAAAAGAAGACATTTATGCAGCCAAAAAACACATGAAGAAATGCTCATCATCACTGGCCATCAGAGAAATGCAAATCAAAACCACTGTGAGATATCATCTCACACCAGTTAGAATGGCAATCATTAAAAAGTCAGGAAACAACAGGTGCTGGAGAGGATGCGGAGAAATAGGAACACTTTTACACTGTTGGTGGGACTGTAAACTAGTTCAACCATTGTGGAAGTCAGTGTGGCGATTCCTCAGGGATCTAGAACTAGAAATACCATTTGACCCAGCCATCCCATTACTGGGTATATACCCAAATGAGTATAAATCATGCTGCTATAAAGACACATGCACACGTATGTTTATTGCGGCACTATTCACAATAGCAAAGACTTGGAACCAACCCAAATGTCCAACAATGATAGACTGGATTAAGAAAATGTGGCACATATACACCATGGAATACTATGCAGCCATAAAAAATGATGAGTTCATATCCTTTGTAGGGACATGGATGAAATTGGAAACCATCATTCTCAGTAAACTATCGCAAGAACAAAAAACCAAACACCGCATATTCTCACTAATAGGTGGGAATTGAACAATGAGATCACATGGACACAGGAAGGGGAATATCACACTCTGGGGACTGTGGTGGGGTCGGGGGAGGGGGGAGGGATAGCATTGGGAGATATACCTAATGCTAGATGACACACTAGTGGGTGCAGCGCACCAGCATGGCACATGTATACATATGTAACTAACCTGCACAATGTGCACATGTACCCTAAAACTTAGAGTATAATAAAAAAAATAAAATAAAATAAAATAAATTTTCCTCTTGATCTGTCGTCTCTATATTCCAAAAATAAGCAGCTCCTCTATCAAGCATACAGGAATAAGAACACTGTCTATACACATTTACTATTTTAAATTTAAAAATTAAGATTGTGATTTTTCACTTGATGTCATGGTTTTGAAATATAGCTTAATGGTCGGTTTGCCAACTTCTAAGGTATAAGGGTATTTTAGAGTAAGAATTGTGCAATTGATTGGCAAGAAATTAAGAACTACAGTATAATAATAACTATAGAAAAAGAGATATTCAAAATATGTGGCAACCAGTGTCCTTGCTGCACCAAGAACTAATCCTTGGGTTGCTGGATTTGGAAGTGGGAATGGGGAAACCTGTCCCAGGGAAGACACTGAGAGAGCAGAGGTGAATGTTCTCATGAGGCAGCAGTTATTACTACCTGATGTGGAATAACTTCAATACTGTAACTACTGATACAGGTACATATTAGATAAATATCAACTTGCTTATGATGAGAATGAAGTTACATCAACCAACATGGATAATAAAGAAGATGCCTCTAAAATACCATTCATTATTTGACCCATCCAAGGTCAAGTCCTATTTCCCAAAACAAAAGTCCATGAAGTTAAGACCTGATAGAGATCACACATCTTTTACCAATTCTAATCTCATTTTTCTGTTCTAAGGATTCTAAGGGATTCACAAGGATTCCCTGTATTCTCTGCTTCTCAGTGAACTCATCCCAGGGTGACACATTGGCTCTCTCCATTTTGTAGATGTACAAAGAAAGACAACATTGAAGGATGGAATCGTGTAAGGTAGGGTCTGATATCTGTCCTCCTAAAACTTCCCCAGACCTATGCTGGCTCTAGAATCAAAGAAATTATCATGGACATATATTTAAAACTTCCAATAGTAAAAAAAAAAAAAAAAAAAAAAAAAAGCAGATCCTGTACAAAAAACTGCAGAGAATTAAAACAAAAAAGATCCTGAAGACCACTGAGGTGCCTCTGAAGAAATTTTCCACCTTCCTTTTCTATAATATCAAATCTCTGCTATCTAATATCTGGTTTCTACAATATCTGTAATATCTAATATCTAGTTTTTTTAACCAAACATAAGAACCTTGAGGCCAATATTTGTCTTTGTCCCCAGTGGCTGTCGTGGTCTGGACCTATAGCAGCTTCTCAATCCATTATTGTGAATGAAGGAAATGTCACTTTGAAGATGGCTAGGAGCATAGATTTTGGACATTGCCAAGAGAAAACATGTAAAGGAGAAAAAGCTCTAGTCAAAGAGCCAGGAGGCCCAAACCCTGTTCCTATCACTAACCAACTAATTACCTGTATGACTGACAAAGGCTTCTTACTGGCTGATATGATTTGTCTGTGCCCCACCCAAAATCTCATCTTGAATTGTAATCTGAATTGTAATCCCCAAGTGTTTGGGGAGGGACCTCATTGGAGGTGATTAGGTCATGGAGGAGGTTCCCCCATGCTGTTCTTGTGATAGTGAGCAAGTTCTCAGGAGATCTGATGGTTTTATAAAGGGCTTTTTCTCCCTTTGTTCTGCACTTCTCTCTCCTGCTGCCATGTGAAGAAGGATGTGTTTGCTTCCCCTTTCGCCATGATTGTATTAATAAGTTTACTGAGGCCTCCGCAGCCATGCAGAACTGTGAGTCAATTAAACCTCTTTCCTTTATAAACTACCCAATCTCAGGCAGTTATTTATAGCAACATGTGAACAGACTAATACACCGGCTTTCCCAGCCTCTACCTCCTCATCATGAAAATGAAGGTAGACCCTGTCCTGCCAGGCTCCCCAGGTTATGGTGACATCAGTTTCGAGGGCAAGGCACAATACAGCTAACTGAGGTCATCACTCAAAAGTGGAGCATTTTATTGGAAATGTGGGAGCCAAATCTTGACAAAAAGATGTAAAACCTTTATACAGAGAATATCATCTATTATCGAAGAATTAGTTAGCAAAAGGAGTTGGAAGTGGTGATATAAAAGCTCCTGACTTTTCTCTTTGAAAATGATCAATCTCTAGGAAACTGAGGTAGATTCATTTTCAGGCAAAGGCTGGCTGGAAACAAGGAAAACACTAAATGCTTCTTGCCAAATTGTCACGAGAGTCTAATAAAATGGTAAGAATCCTACAGGTTTATATGCTAACCTACACCTGCTGACTGAGATGTGAGTAGAAGATTCTGAAGGACACAGATTAATACAAATCCAGACATTTGCTTCATTGTTGCTAAGAAGGTATGGAGGTGAAAAGGAATCAAAAAGCAGATAAAAATGGGAGTCAAAGTTTGAACTACCACCGAGGGATTTAAAATGAACTATCATAACCTTGAGAAATAAGGAAAGTCCAAATAAGTCACCAATAAATTAACAGTCTAAACCAATTTTATCAGCTCATAAGTCCACTGAAAATTTAGGTATTTGAAAGTACACTGTAGAGATCGTGAAACTTCACCCCTAAATACCTCAGCACATGTCTCCTAAGAATAAGAGTATTCTCTTACATGACACAATATACTATACTGGCTAAAAAAAAAAAATAGTTAATTCAGAAATATTATCTTATAACAGTTTACATTGACATTCCCCCCGTTGTTTCTAAATGGTGTGTGTGTGTGTGTGTGTGTGTGTGTGTGTTTGTGATGGAGTCTCACTCTGTCGCCCAGGCTGGAGTGCAGTGGTGCAATCTCGGCTCCCTGCAAGCTCCGCCTCCCAGGTTCACACCATTCTCCTGCCTCAGCCTCCCGAGTAGCTGGGACTACAGATGCCTGTCACCACGCCTGGCTAATTTTTTATATTTTAGTAGAGAGGGGGTTTCACCGTGTTAGCCAGGATTGTCTCCATCTCCTGATCTCGTGATCCGCCCACCTTGGCCTCCCAAAGTGCTGGGATTACTGGCGTGAGCCACAGCGCCAGGCCTAAAATGTCTTTTATGGTCTTTATACAGGGTAGAGAGGAGAATCCAGGATCCAATCAAGGTCCACATAGTGCATTTGGATGCTATGTTTCTGTTTGGTCTGTCCATAGCTATAACAGTCCCAAAGATACCAGCCACTTGTCTTACAAAATATCCCACATTCTGGATTTGTCTGACTGTATCCTTGTGATTATATTCTGATTTAACATTTTTGCCAAGAGTACTATGTAGGTGATATTGTATTCATCTTACTGCAACTCATCAGGAAGCAGATAATGTCAAGTGGACCCCCTCTTGGTGATGCTAGGTTGGGGAAGGTGATGTCCTCCAGAGCTTTCCACTGTAGAGGCACATTTCCCCCTTGTGGCAATTTAAGTCATCTGAGGGGTGAGACTTTGAGAGTATGAGAATATTCTGAATCCCTAAAATGATTTTAGCATCCATTGACACTCTTTGCTTAATTTATTAGAAATTTCAAAATAGTTATTATCTAATTCTATTATTCCTTCTACATTTATTAGCTGAAATTCTATGAAGCATAGCTTTCTGCACCACTCTTTCCTCCTTTCTCTTTCTTTTTAGAATCACTATGAACCCATGGGCTTTTAAAATTTTTATTAAAAAGTTACAATATTTTAGTGCCATTATCATTCTGATACTCAAATTGTCCCAAATTTTAGCCAAAGGAAGTCCTTCAAGCTGCCGTGTGTGTGTGTGTGTGTGTGTGTGTGTGTGTGTGTGTGTGCATGCGTGTGTGTGTGTGTGTGTGTGTAAATACCCCTTTAGGTTCTCATAACTGTCTTGATTTCTGACACTGCAGACTCACTGCTATGGTCTGAATGTTTGTGTCCCTCTCAAATTCATCTGTTGAAATTCTAATCCCCAAGGTGATGATATTAGAAAGTGCAGTCTTTGGGAGGTGATTGGGTCATGAAGGTGGAGCCCTTATGAATGGGATTAGTGCCATTAATACCATTAGGGACCCCAAAGAGCTCTCTATAACTCTTTCCACAAGGTAAGAATACAACAAGAAGTTGAGAAGTCAGCAATAGGCAACCTAGAAGAGGGTCCTCACAAGAGCCCAACCGTGTCAGCACCCTGATCTTGGACTTCTAGCCTGCAGAACCAAGAGAAATAATTTTTGTTGTTAATACGGCACCCAGTCTATGTTATTTGCTGTTAACTGCCTGAATAGACTAAGATATTGTCTCTGCCCTACACCTGTATTCATGCATTTCATCCAGGAGCATTCTTTCTAATCAATGTTATTGTAGCAAAAGATGATGAATTATGAAGATGACAGAACTATAGTTCTTAAAAAAAAAGGCCCTAAGAAAAATTCAAGTTAGGGTTTCCATAGGTCAACATTAATTATATTAACATCATTTTGAAAACTTCCTCAATTAATGCTTTCCACTATAATTTAGGGATTTAGTTTTTAGCTACATCTGCAGGAATTATAATACAAATCAACTGGGGAAATTAAGAAAGAACAAAACCACATTTTATCCCTTATTCCTGAAAGCTGGTAAGGCTTTTATGTTATGTCCACATGAAACCAGACAACTGAACAATTTTGTCGATTCCTTCCAATTGATTAATTTTGTGAAAAGAAAAGGTGGGAAGCCCAAGTCTAGGTCAGGCAAATGGGCTGTGAGTCCCAGCTCTGCCTTTCAAGGGAGAGGCCTGGCTGTCCCAGACCCTGTGGAAAGAGAGGCCGCTGTACGCTCTCCACAGCCCTGGACTCAGCTCATTTCTCCTACTCTCACCTCAGCTTCCTCACAGCTGACCTTCATTTCATTTCCTCCAATATGACACACCCATATGTGCCTCCAAGTTTTCAGCCCTGAACAAGTCTGACTTCCCTCCCATGGTCCACTGACTCCATGAATAGACCTGGACCAGCCCCACCCACCAACTCTACGGACGATGTGCTTCTCAGAACTGACCCAGCATCCAACAATCTTGTACAAACAGAACTTATGTGAGGGTGGAGGAGCCAAGATGGCCAAATAGGAACAGCTCCGGTCTACAGCTCCCAGCGTGAGCGACGCAGAAGACGGGTGATTTCTGCATTTCCATCTGAGCTTTGAAGAGAGCAGTGGTTCTCCCAGCACGCAGCTGGAGATCTGAGAACGGGCAGACTGCCTCCTTAAGTGGGTCCCTGACCCCTGACCCCTGACCCCCCGAGCAGCCTAACCGGGAGGCACCCCACAGCAGGGGCAGACTGACACCTCACAGGGCCCAGTACTCCAACAGACCTGCAGCTGAGGGTCCTGTCTGTTAGAAGGAAAACTAACAAACAGAAAGGACATCCACACCAAAAACCCATCTTTACATCACCATCATCAAAGACCAAAAGTAGATAAAACCACAAAGATGGGGAAAAAACCGAGCAGAAAAACTGGAAACTCTAAAAAGCAGAGCACCTCTCCTCCTCCAAAGGAATGCAGTTCCTCAACAGCAACAGAACAAAGCTGGATGGAGAATAACTTTGACGAGCTGAGAGAAGAAGGCTTCAGATGATCAAATTACTCTGAGCTACAGGAGGACACTCAAACCAAAGGCAAAGAAGTTGAAAACTTTGAAAAAAATTTAGAAGAATGTATAACTAGAATAACCAATACAGAGAAGTGCTTAAAGGAGCTGATGGAGCTGAAAACCAAGGCTCTAGAACTACGTAAAGAATGCAGAAGCCTCAGGAGCCGGTGAGATCAACTGGAAGAAAGGGTATCAGCAATGGAAGATGAAATGAATGAAATGAAGCGAGAAGGGAAGTTTAGAGAAAAAAGAATAAAAAGAAATGAGCAAAGCCTCCAAGAAATATGGGACTATGTGAAAAGACCAAATCTTCATCTGATTGGTGTACCTGAAAGTGACGGGGAGAATGGAACCAAGCTGGAAAACACTCTGCAGGATATTATCCAGGAGAACTTCCCCAATCTAGCAAGGCAGGCCAACATTCAGATTCAGGAAATACAGAGAACACCACAAAGATACTCCTCGAGAAGAGCAACTCCAAGACACATAATTGTCAGATTCACCAAAGTTGAAATGAAGGAAAAAATGTTAAGGGCAGCCAGAAAGAAAGGTCAGGTTATCCTCAAAGGGAAGCCCATCAGACTAACAGCGGATCTTTCGGCAGAAACGCTACAAGCCAGAAGAGAGTGGGGGCCAATATTCAACATTCTTAAAGAAAAGAATTTTCAACCCAGAACTTCATATCCAGCCAAACTAAGCTTCATAAGTGAAGGAGAACTAAAATACTTTACAGACAAGCAAATGCTGAGAGATTTCGTCACCACCAGGCCTGCCCTAAAAGAGCTCCTGAAGGAAGCACTAAACATGTAAAGGAACAACCGGTACCAGCCACTGCAAAATCATGCCAAAATGTGAAGACCATCGAGACTAGGAAGAAACTGCATCAACTAATGAGCAAAATAACCAGCTAACATCATAATGACAGGATCAAATTCACACATAACAATATTAACTTTAAATGTAAGTGGACTAAATGCTCCAATTAAAAGACACAGACTGGCAAATTGGATAAAGAGTCAAGACCCATCAGGGTGCTGTATTCAGGAAACCCATCTCACGTGCAGAGACACACATAGGCTCAAAATAAAAGGATGGAGGAAGATCTACCAAGCAAATGGAAAACAAAAAAAGGCAGGGGTTGCAATCCTAGTCTCTGATAAAACAGACTTGAAACCAACAAAGATCAAAAGAGACAAAGAAGGCCATTACATAATGGTAAAGGGATCAATTCAACAAGAAGAGCTAACTATCCTGCATATATATGCACCCAATACAGGAGCACCCAGATTCACAAAGCAAGTCCTTAGAGACCTACCAAGAGACTTAGACTCCCACACATTAATAATGGGAGACTTTAGCACCCCACTGTCAACATTAGACAGATCAATGAGACAGAAAATCAACAAGGATACCCAGGAATTGAACTCAGCTCTGCACCAAGTGGACCTAATAGACATCTACAGAACTCTCCACCCCAAATCAACAGAATATACATTTTTTTCAGCACCACACCACACATATTCCAAAATTGACCACATACTTGGAAGTAAAGCTCTCCTCAGCAAATGTAAAAGAACAGAAATTATAACAAACTGTCTCTCAGACCACAGTGCAATCAAACTAGAACTCAGGATTAAGAATCTCACTCAAAACCGCTCAACTACATGGAAACTGAACAACCTGCTCCTGAATGATTACTGGGTACATAAGGAAATGAAGGCAGAAATAAAGATGTTCTTTGAAACCAACGAGAACAAAGACACAACATACCAGAATCTCTGGGACATATTCAAAGCAGTGTGTAGAGGGAAATTTATAGCATTAAATGCCCACAAGAGAAAGCAGGAAAGATCTAAAATTGACACCCTAACATCACAATTAAAAGAACTAGAAAAGCAAGAGCAAACACATTCAAAAGCTAGCAGAAGGCAAGAAATAACTAAAATCAGAGCAGAACTGAAGGAAATAGAGACACAAAAAACCCTTCAAAAAATTAATGAATCCAGGAGCTGGTTTTTTGAAAGGATCAACAAAATTGATAGACCACTAGCAAGACTAATAAAGAAAAAAAGAGAGAAGACTCAAATAGATGCAATAAAAAATGATAAAGGGGATATCACCACCGATCCCACAGAAATACAAACTACCATCAGAGAATACTACAAACACCGCTATGCAAATAAACTAGAAAATCTAGAAGAAATGGATAAATTCCTTGACACATACACTCTCCCAAGACTAAACCAGGAAGAAGTTGAATCTCTGAATAGACCAATAACAGGATCTGAAATTGTGGCAATAATCAATAGCTTACCAACCAAAAAGAGTCCAGGACCAGATGGATTCACAGCTGAATTTTACCAGAGGTACAAGGAGGACTTGGTACCATTCCTTCTGAAACTATTCCAATCAATAGAAAAAGAGGAAATCCTCCCTAACTCATTTTATGAGGCCAGCATCATCCTGATACCAAAGCCAGGCAGAGACACAACCAAAAAAGAGAATTTTAGACCAATATCCTTGATGAACATTGATGCAAAAATCCTCAATAAAATACTGGCAAAACAAATCCAGCAGCACATCAAAAAGCTTATCCACCATGATCAAGTGGGCTTCATCCCTGGGATGCAAGGCTGGTTCAATATATGCAAATCAATAAATGTAATCCAGCATATAAACAGAACCAAAGACAAAAACCACACGATTATCTCAATAGATGCAGAAAAGGCCTTTGGCAAAATTCAACAACCCTTCATGCTAAAAACTCTCAATACATTAGGTATTGATGGGACATATTTCAAAATAATAAGAGCTATCTATCACAAACCCACAGCCAATATCATACTGAATGGGCAAAACCTGGAAGCATTCCCTGTGAAAACTGGCACAAGACAGGGATGCCCTCTCTCACCACTCCTATTCAACATAGTGTTGGAAGTTTTGGCCAGGGCAATTAGGCAGGAGAAGGAAATAAAGGGTATTCAATTAGGAAAAGAGGAAGTCAAATTGTCCCTGTTTGCAGATGACATGATTGTATATCTAGAAAACCCCATTGTCTCAGCCCAAAATCTCCTTAAGCTGATAAGCAACTTCAGTAAGGTCTCAGGATACAAAATCAATGTACAAAAATCACAAGCATTCTTATACACCAATAACAGACAAACAGACAGCCAAATCATGGGTGAACTCCCATTCACAATTGCTTCAAAGAGAATAAAATACCTAGGAATCCAACTTACAAGGGATGTGAAGGACCTCTTCAAGGAGAACTACAAACCACTGCTCAAGGAAATAAAAGAGGATACAAACAAATGGAAGAATATTCCATGCTCACGGGTAGAAAGAATCAATATCGTGAAAATAGCCATACTGCCCAAGGTAATTTACACATTCAATGCCATCCCCATCAAGCTACCAATGACTTTCTTCAAAGAATTGGAAAAAACTACTTTAAAGTTCATATGGAACCAAAAAAGAGCACGCATCGCCAAGTCAATCCTAAGCCAAAAGAACAAAGCTGGAGGCATCACACTACCTGACTTCAAACTATACTACAAGGCTACAATAACCAAAACAGCATGGTACTGGTACCAAAACAGACATATAGATCAATGGAACAGAACAGAGCCCTCAGAAATAACGACACATATCTACAACTATCTGATCTTTGACAAACCTGAGAAAAACAAGCAATGGGGAAAGGATTCCCTATTTAATAAATGGTGCTGGGAAAACTGGCTAGCCATATGTAGAAAGCTGAAACTGGATCCCTTCTTTACACCTTATACAAAAATCAATTCAAGATGGATTAAAGGCTTAAATGTTAGATCTAAAACCATAAAAACCCTAGAAGAAAACCTAGGCATTACCATTCAGGACATAGGCATGGGCAAGGCTTCATGTCTAAAACACCAAAAGCAATAGCAACAAAAGCCAAAATTGACAAATGGTATCTAATTAAACTAAAGAGCTTCTGCACAGCAAAAGAAACTACCATCAGAGTGAACAGGCAACCTATAAAATGGGAGAAAATTTTCACAACCTACTCATCTGACAAAGGGCTAATATCCAGAATCTACAATGAACTCAAACAAATTTACAAGAAAAAAAAAACAACCCCATCAAAAAGTGGGCGAAGGACATGAACAGACACTTCTCAAAAGAAGACATTTATGCAGCCAAAAAACACATGAAAAAATGCTTATCATCACTGGCCATCAGAGAAATGCAAATCAAAACCACATTGAGATACCATCTCACACCAGTTAGAATGGCAATCATTAAAAAGTCAGGAAACAACAGGTGCTGGAGAGGATGTGGAGAAATAGGAACACTTTTACACTGTTGGTGGGACTGTAAACCAGTTCAACCATTGTGGAAGTCAGTGTGGCGATTCCTCAGGGATCTAGAACTAGAAATACCATTTGACCCAGCCATCCCATTACTGGGTATATACCCAAATGACTATAAATCATGCTGCTTTAAAGACACATGCACATGTATGTTTATTGTGGCATTATTCACAATAGCAAAGACTTGGAACCAACCCAAATGTCCAACAATGATAGACTGGATTAAGAAAATGTGGCACATATACACCATGGAATACTATGCAGCCATAAAAAATGATGAGTTCATGTCCTTTGTAGGGACATGGATGAAATTGGAAACCATCATTCTCAGTAAACTATCGCAAGAACAAAAACCCAAACACTGCATATTCTCACTAATAGGTGGGAATTGAACAATGAGAACACATGGACACAGGAAGGGGAACATCACACTCTGGGGACTGTTGTGGGGTGGGGGGAGAGGGGAGGGATAGCATTGGGAGATATACCTAATGCTAGATGACGAGTTAGTGGGTGCAGCACAGCAGCATGGCACATGTATACATATGTAACTAACCTGCACATTGTACACATATACCCTAAAACTTAAAGTATAATAATAATAAAAAAAAAAGAACTTATGCATTCCCCTTGATAACAAGTAACTAGGATGTGCCTCCAAGACCCGAAAGACAGGACTAGAGTAAATCCCCATCAAGACTCAGGATATAAAACCTGGGTCTTAATGGGGTTACCTCCTCTGTCATTTTCATGAGTTTTTCTAGTTTCTGCCAAAACTTGAAATGATCATATTCCTGTGCTTTTATTCAGTGCTTTTCTTTCATGCTGGAGGGAAGGTAACCTCTGGAGTCACATAGACTAGCTCCTCTGATTACCAGCTGTGTGACCCTGGCAAGTTGCTTAACCCTTCTAGGCTTTGGTTTCCTCATCTGTAAAGTGGATATAATAATAGTAGCTACATCATAGGATTGTTGTGAAGAGTGAATAAGGAACATGTCTACAGGATGCACAATGTCTCACAGTGATAGGTCAATTATGTGAGCTCTTATTATGATTATGGCTTTATTCTCACTCGCTGGGCAAGCTCATCAAAGACTTCCCTATTTTTATGCAAACAACTCCCAGATTTACCAATATCTTCAAATTAGTCTTCCATTCTTCCACTCTAAAACTGTCCTAAGAACATGCTACTAGACTTCTAGCTTCTCAAACTCAACATTTCCAAACCGAATTTATCTTCTTTTAGTACACTCATTTTTCTCCCTATTTTTTTTTTTACTTATTTTTAGATAATTGTAGATTCATACAATTTTTGTTGTAGGAAATAATAGAGAAAAATCTTGTATACTCTTTCTCTAGTTTCCCCCAATGATGACATCTTACATAAATATAGTATAATATCACAACCAGAAAATTGATATTGATACAATCCACCAAGCTTAATCAAGTTTCACCAGTTTTACACGCACTGTATATGTGTGCGTGTGGTTTTAGTTCTATATAATTTTATCACATATATGGGTTCATGTAACGACTACCACAGTCCATATACAGAACAGTTCCATCACAAGGATCCCTCCTTTTACCCTTTTACGGCCCACCCGCCTCCTTCCCTCTTCTTTTCCCAACTTGTGGCAACAATGAATCTGTTCCCCATCTATATAATTTTGTCACTCCAAGAATGTTATATGAATGGAATCATACAATATATAATTTTTTGATACTGTTTTTCTTCACTCAGTGGAGAATACCACAGAATGATATTCCAGTTTATGACACACCACAGTTTGACTAACCAGTCACACATTAAAGTATACTGGAGTTGTTTCCAGTTTGGAGCTATTAAGACTAAAGCTGCTATGTACATTTGTGTACAGTTGTTTATGTGAATACAGTTTTCATTTTTGTGAGATAAATGTCCAACAGTGCAATTATACTGTTGCATGGTAAGCACATTTTAGTTCTGTAAGAAATTGCCATATTTTACTCTAGAGTGGTTGTACCACATTATATTCTCACCAGTGTCTGAGTGGTCCAGTTTTTCTGCATCCTCATCAGCATTTGATGTTATCACTACTTTTAATTTTAGCCATTCTGATTTGATACATAGTGATATCCCACTGTCATTTTAATTTGCACTTCACCAATGGCTAATGATGTTGGACATCCTTTCATGTGCTTATCTGCCATCTATATATCCTCTTCAAGTGAAATGTATGTATATGTATTTTGTCCAATTTCCAAAAGGATTATTTGGGTTATTTATGGTTGAAAGAGTTCATTGTATATATTCTAGATACAATTCCTTTGTTAGATATGCCATTTGCAAATATTGTCCCCCAGGCTATAGCTTGTCTTTTTCTTTCTGTTGACAAGGTCTTTCACAGAACAAAAGTTTTTAATGTTGATAATGTCCAATTTGACAGTTTTCTTCTTTTATGAATAGTGCTTTTGGTGACAAGTTTAAGAAGGCTTTACCTCATCCGAGGTTTCAAAATTTTTCTATTTTTGTCTACACTTTTTATAGTTTTCCATTTTACATTCAAGTCTGTGGTCCATTATGAGGTAATTTTTGTATAAGGCATGTGGTCGAGGTTCGTGTTCTTGCTGAAGGATATCAGATTTCTCTCACATTTTGAACAATGACATTGCTATTCACAGAGGGGTTATAGAGCCTGTGGGTCTCCCTCTTCCTTTTCATGTCCTCCCCCATCTAATCTGGTTGTCTCTATCTGTCCCAGAATCATTTTCTTAAAGCCACATCTCATCATGTCACTCTCCTGCATAAACAACTTAGATGGGTATTGACTCATGATGACAGACCTCTAGCCCTTTAGCTGGGCATACACCATTTAGACAACCCAACCACAGCTTCCCTTTCCTTAACCTCCACATATTTGCACAGTGCTTCAGCCACACAGGACACACAAAGGTCTTTCAGAGATGCTTTGCAGATGCCATTTTTCCCCACTACAAAGCCATTTTTTTTTTCCTGGGCCTCTCGCCTCAACACTAGCTGGAAGGTCACCTTTTTCACATATCTTTCCCCTAAAACACTTGCTCCCCTAACTTCCCAGGAAGAATTGCATCCTCATCCAAATTCCCATGAAACTCTCCTTATGCTTCTTTACTGCCTCTGTTTTTTCATCTGTAAAATAGGGCTAACAAAAAAAAAAAACTTATAGAGTTGTTTGGGAACTAAATGAGTTAATACCTGTAAAGCAAATAGAAGCACAATCTAGGCCATAATCAGTGCTCAATACATTTGTTATTGATGTTATAATTTTCATATATCTTTGTTGTATCTTATGTAATAGTTTATTATAGATACTTTTTCTAAGTTGGTTATTTATTCTTCTTCTCTACCAGGTTGTGTAAGATTTTCTATAGCTCCTCTTACTTTCCCACAATGTTAGTACATCATAGATTTTGATGAACATTTGAACTAAATTGGCTGTTCAAATTTAATAAGCCAATACAATGAAAAAAATAACTGACCTTTCCCCTTGAATCAACAAGTTGTTTTACTGAACTAATTATTTTGGCAGTTAATGGACATCCCTCCACTTCAATTTTTGTTTTGTTTGAATACAAGCATGAGGGTTAAATGAATTGCTGAAATACAAGATGATCAGATTATTTATTAATGACAGAAAAGTATGTTTATTCTACTTAAGTCTCTCCAATAAGACAATACTCTTTTTTGTTTAAGGGCAAAAATTACACTAACTCTAATAGACAGGGAATATTGGGTTCTTCTTCATTTTGCATTAAAATCATACTTTCCCCACATTCTTGGAAAAAGTCGTATTCGGAAGGACTGTGAAGAAGAGTTAGAATAGATGAACATTTGGGTAAAGAAGAAGAATATAAATTATATTGGAGAAGGTGATGGAAATGGGAAGGATTTGGTCAACCACACTGAAAAAATGATGTGCTCATTTGTAGTTGGTAGCTATATAAAAATAAAACCATCTAGAAAAGCAACAGTATACTTTTATACCACTGAAGAATCCCAGAATATATACACAATTAACTACAAAAAGAAATCTCAAAATCTCTCGAATGCTGTATTGGCAGTATTTTTGGTGGTTCCTCCTGCCACAAAGCCTGGCTCTGATATCAGCATTCACCCTCCCCAACCTCAGGTGAATCTTGGCCTAAGTCATTCCCAATGCCAATGTTTGGTTTAGGAAGGGGCCTATGGCACAGTCCTGGGCAATGAGGCGCCAGAGAGAGTCTACTGGGAAGTTTGTCTTGCTCTTACAAAAGAAAACGGATGTGTGAGGAGGAGCCATTTCATTTTCCTGTCTCTGTATTCATGAAGATGTTGCACTCAGAGCTTCTGAAGTCATCACACAATAAAAGACACCTACAAGACAGCACTGAGAATGGCAGAGCAGCAAGATGGGGGACTTGAGTCCATGATGAAATCACTGAGCCTCTGAAAAAAGGCAGGAGTCTCTCTGTCTCAGGATATCTTGTTACCTAAGACAATAAACTCTTTATTGTCTGGCCAGTTTAGCAGATTTTCTGTTTCTGGCCTACAAAAGTTTCTAAACAGACTCAGCATTCTGAGTGCTCTAAGTAAACCTGACATACTGATTTTAAGAGGAAACCTGCAGTTTAGTTGGCTAAATACTTACAATCACTATTCTAGAGGAGAGACAGTCAGACTTCTACAACCAGTGAGAAGGAACAGTATAAAGAACACAGACTCCCGAAGCAGGGAGCCCAGGTTCAAATCTCACCTTTGCAGCTCACTAGCTGTGTGGCCTTAGGCAAGATACTTTATTTGACTGAATTTCTGTTCTTTCACTGTAAAATGCCTACGGCAATACCTACCTCATAAGTTGGTAGGGTATATTAAATCCAATAATGTAATAATAAACGGCCTGTCAAATAGCAACCCAAATAAATGTTAGTTTCTCTTCCCCTAATTAATCCTTTGCCAAGATGAAACACTAACGCGGTTTATTAGACCAATTATTCAGATGCCTTCTTTCCAGCAGGAATTACTCTGACAGCGGGGCTGGTGTCATCAAGAGTAATTTCTGCTGAAAAGGTTCCAATCTTCATGTTTCTACTGTGAAGCCTAGTGTGGTGGAGAAGGGATCAGGCAGGGTTACTTCCAACCATAGAGAAAATTGATGTGATGATAACCACAGTGGAAGAGTTTATACGCCCCTGACTGTTTTATTCTCACACCTTAAAAAGGGTATGTGGGTGGAATTAATGGGTTCCAGGGAAGTGTGCTCATAGTAACTTTTCCTCCAAATTATTTCTACATTTTCCATTATATTCCACCAAAAGCAAAGTTTATTCTACTGATCATGATTACCAAGCTCCTAAATAGAATTAATTAACATACTGTCTTAAGATATATTGTGTTTGGATTATAAAAACAAAAGTAGGAGTTGGTGTCAGCAAGAAATCTTCTTTATTTCTGGTGCAGCAATACAGTCTATTGTAAAGGTATTCAACTTTTGCAATAAATAAATGGAAGTCATGTTTACCTAAATAGTCATTAATCATATGCTTGTACTAATAATGAGGGTAAAATTGGCAAATTTAACTGGAAGACAATTTGACATCAAAACCCTTTAAAATGCATTTACTCTTTGACCTAAAAATTCCACTTTTAGGAATTTATTTTTTATAAAAAAATAAAGATTTGTGCAATAATTTTTCAAGAATTTTTCTTGCAGGAAGAAAACAACCTAAGCATTTAAGATCCAAAGATTAAATTATGGAATGTCTACCCGATCAAATACTAAGCAACCATTGAAAATGAAATCATAGGAAAAAATGTATTGACATGGAAAGATGTACATGATATATTCCTAGATTTTGAGAGGTCATAAACTGTGCATTCAGTGCTTTAGAGTTTTCGTTAAAACATATTTATTTTTTAAAGTTTCAATGGCTATATACCAAAATGAATATGAAATGCTTCTAAGGATTTTTATTTTCTTTCATCTTGATTCTGTATATTTTTTTCAGTAAGTATAAACTGTGTAATAAAGAAAAATAATTTTTAAAAACTCAGATGAGAAATTAGTAAAATACTTTTAAGCTAAATAGCTAGCAAATAGACCTTTCATTGCTTATTATCTAGATTCTGAACTCTGGCTTCTCAGATTTCAGCCAAAATCTGATTTTTAAAGTTGAATTTTAGGAGGCTAAAGACCAACTCCCCAGAGCAAGAAGATCATCAGGTTGCCCTTTTAGGGGAGGTGACTGCTCCCTCGTCTTACTGTTGATCATAAACTGGAAAGGTGGTGAACTCTGTTTTAAACTGGGGGTATTCTCTTCAGTCAGAAATGCCCAAGCCCCCACAATGACATGCAGGGAAGTTTAAAGTAGCTTTCCTGCCCATGCTTAGTTGGTTCTTTGTGTTTCCAGGGAAGAATCCTTCAAAACAGAAGAAGCTGATTGGCACCCACTCTGGAATGCAGCTCCTGGCTGTCACCTCCAAGTAGACAAAAGTTCTGGCCTCTATCAGAACCCTGCCTGCCACAATGACCTGGACCCTGATTTAGTTATCATATTATTAATAATTATTATTGCCATGGGTGTTTATTGACCCTCTGCTATCTACCATGCACTTTGCCAAGCACTTTTCACACATTATTTCATTTAAAATCTTAACAGCAGCCATGGAAGGTTAAAGCTATCATTATCCTCATTTTATAGATGAGGAAACAGTTTGCCCAAGATTATATGGCTAGTAAGGACTAGAGGCAAAATGAGAAACTAGATCTACCTGGATTTTATTAGAGGTTCCTTAACCAATTAAATTAGGATGTTTATAATTCACTTTGGGGAGAAAGTTCAATTTGCCATTCCTGGGTCTTTCTAGACCAGAGTTAAAAGTAATTCCAAGAAAATACTAAACCACTTCACATTTCACAACCATAGGAGTGATTCTTCTGTATAGCCATGCCCTTGACTGCTGGTGGCAAAAAAAAAAAGGCGGGGGGCGGGTGGGCCAAGACACAGCCAAGAGTCCTTCTGTGTTCAGCTCCATGCTGACTTGCTTGTCACTTAACTTTTCCAAACCTCAGATCCCTATGTAGAAAATGAACTTTATTCTTGTCCTAAATACCTTGTTTGTGAGTATCAAATAAGACAATGTGTGTATAGGTACTTTTGAAAGTACAAAGGGCAAGGAACCTTGATTACTCCTCATGCAAATTACTTCCACCCTCAAAACCCAAAAGCAATGTAACTTTTATATAGCATTTTGCAAAAGACCGAGTGAGGGGTTTTAGAAATACAGACAAACCTTAATGTAAAAAAGTCCCCTGTGTAATATTTCCCCATGTTTAGCATTAATAAGTCCTGAGGAAAAGTCATTGACTCAATGCTCCTTGCCCCCATCTAATGCTTTTGATTTAATGTTTCCTCTCTAAGTGCATGAATTTTTGAAATGCAGGAAATTTTGCCACAGGACTTAAGAGTCTCCTGTGACTTGATGTTAAGGTATTTCCTTAGTCATTTTGGTCTGTGCTCCCTGGGAGCAAATTAGAGCTTTGGCCGTGAGTTGATACACGTCCTGTTTTAACTAAAGATGATAGTTGGCTCAATTACTCAAAAATATTACATCAAGGCTTAGGATTACATTTGCAAGAAGGACTAATTTTTTAAAAAAACTAATATATGGCAGTAAAGGGAACAAAGGAATTTTTTATTGACTATTTTTAAAAATAACTTTTTTTAAGTTGTAAAAGCAATATATGCCCATGTTTTAAAATTCAAAGAGGGTACATAAAGTGAAATGGAAAAGTACTCACTCCACATACATTCTACTTTCAATGGTAAACACCAGTTTCTCATACATGCTTTGAGAATTTTACTATGACTATACAAGCAAATGGATGTAAATATATAACTATTTTTAACACAGTATCATTCATGCTATAGACTGCCCCCAAAATGCTTTTTTCCTAAAAGTATGTTTGTATACTTTTTAATATTCTCATGTATTGCTCAGTTTTAAGCTCTCTCCTCTGCAGTATTCCATTGCATGGATATAACATAAATTATTTCAATATTTTTCTCTGGCTGAATACTTAGTTGTTTATGGATTTTTAATAACACAAACAATGCTGCAACCAAAACTTCACCACATGTCTTTGCTCAGTTATGTGAGCTCACCTGTAGAAAAATTCTTATAAGTAAAATTGATAGGTCAAAAGGGAGGTGCTAATCAAGTGTTGATAGATTTTTTAAATGCAAATTACCATCTAAAGCTGGTTGTACTAATTTGCTTTTCCCCCACACTTACTATTGAGAGCCCCGCCTTTGCCAACAATGGGTATAGATGATATGAGAACCTATTAAACTAAGATGGATACTATCAATTTTCAGCAGACACTGGATTAAAACAAGTATTGTTTTAGGTCTTAGATAACAAGAAACTGGAAATGCCTGCCCCTAAATGTACTGTGAATCTCCAGGCCTTGAGCTCTGAGAAGAAATCACGTTGAAGTGAAATAAATCTCAAAAGAGGGGCTTAACACTCATGGAGTGTCTATTGCATGCCAGGCACTGTTCTAAGTACTTTATATACCTTAAGTCTCCTATAATTCCCAACCACCCTATTAAAAAGGTGCTTTAGTCATTTCCATTTTATAGACAAAAAAACTAAGGCACAGAGAAGTTAATTCCCCAAGGTCACTCGGCTGATAAATGATAATGCTCAGATTTGAGCCTAGGAAGTTTGGGTCCAGGGTCAGGTGCTTTTATCCACTTATGCATTCTGTCTCTGTGCTCCTAATGATATGCTAAACACATTTATTGAATACCTACCCTATGCCAGGACTGACACATGCACCATCTTATCCTCACAGCAATACTAAGAAGTATTATTCCTGTTCCAGAGATATTAAAGTGGCTTTCCAAAGTGACAGCAAGGGGATGTGCACTGGGGCATGTCTGATTCCAAAGCCTGTATTTATTCCACTACACCATGCTTCTTTTTAGGAACTAGTTGTCATAATATTCATTTTACAGATAAGAAAATCAAGACTTCAGAATGAGACATATAAGGGGTTTTAAATGGGGTCATCCTTGCTAACAAACAGAACCTACCAGGGAGCTCCATCACATCTAGTTCTTCCTTCATCAGACTGCTATATAGTTGGAATATTCATGTATATTTAATTACATATACATGGTCATAGAGTAGCATATAGTGGCAATTTGCTATTTCCCATAAAGTATGAGCTCAAATTGTCCAGTGTGGACTAAAATTGAAGGCAGAATTAAAGTCTCCCAATTCAAGTATCAACAAAGCCCATTTTAAAAGAGTGATATAGTTAGGTGAGGATGAGCAGATGGACTCCCACACTGCAGAGACATACATCACTAGAATATGGTAGCAACATATTTTTAAGCTCAGTGAGAAATTCATTATCAGTCCATCAAAAAAATAGGTTTGGTGCTGGTTCCTGAATTTACAACTGTATTTCCTTACAGTATACAGGAAAGTTTGAGAGCCCAGGAAAGGTAAGAAGAGCGGCCCAAGGATGGAGAGCTTCAGAGAAGAGCCTTCTGGGTGGGCAAACCCTACCAGCCAATCACTGCTTCTGCTCACACCCTCCATGCCCAGCTCAATGTCTAAGAGCTCAGGCCCTGGGTCCAAATCCACTCTGCTACTTGACCACTGTGTTACCTTCAACAGGTTATCAAGCCTCTCTAGCAGTTTTCCTCATCTGTAAGATAGGCAGTAACCAACAGTGCCTGCCTCATTCATCTGCCATGAAGATTAAACATCGTCCATACAGATCGCTTCCCTAAAGTTTTGAGTTAGAGCACAGAATTACAAATGTCTACATACACAGACCCCTCCCTTTTATGTTTCAGTATCTTATTCATTTTTTTTAATGAAATCAGGAAAACACATTGTCCTATGTCTAAGTCTGAGACAAAAAAGGGAATTTATACTCATTGGCTTACGATAGCTCTATGCTCTGGAGGTCAGAGTGTGCAAATCCTGTATTTCTATGTCTGGCAGCCCTAGTGAGGAATGAGGCATTAGATCTCTGTTATCACTGTCACAAAACAAACAATATGTTACCAGCTTATCTTTTGATTGTCACAGCTTGTTAGGCACAAGTCAATGTAGGCAGTTATTCAGTCAGATTTGGAGGTTAATTTGATTATCTCTTAAAAAAATTTTTTTTGTACACCATGGATACTAATGTAATATTCCTACAAGGGTTTTCCTGCACTCTACAGTAAAACAAGTCAGCCTGGAAGAATATGCAAATGTGACTGTTATGTTGTTCAGTTTTCAGGGCAATTAAATACTTGCTTTGAGCTTCTCATATTGCATTGCAAATTCCTATAAAACTTACTATTCATTTCTGTACCTAAAGCTTATTTAGCGTCAAGTCTTTGCCATTATTTCCATTTTATTGAAAATTGAGTTTTTAATTATGTGTCACAATCATGTATAATGTGAATCTTTATTTGCAAAGTCTTTTTTGGTTCATGTTAAATCAATTACCTTTGTCCCTTTGTTAGTTGGGCAGTGGGAGGCAGCAGTTTCAGATTTCCTCTATGAGAAGATGTCTGCAACTCATGATAACAGTGTTGGCTCCTCTATCTACCCCAGGAACAAAGAACTTTAATTAGATAGGCCAGTCTTGTCAGCCTCTGCTGGGCAGGATCAGGTCTGTATGAAGCCAAACAACTTCTTAAAAAATAAAATATAATAATAATTCGTTACTCAAACTGGCTGTAAGAAATTGTGTGGATCCCAAAAAGGTGTTTCTACAGTTGAAATTTAGAAAAAAGAACCTAAATTTTGTTAGAATTGTTGGTGTCTGTAAACATAACTTTTGTCTTTGATGCCTTAATCTTTTGTTTAAAGGATTATCGTGAAAATCTCTAAATGACAGTAAATTGAAAATCAGGCAAAATTTGAGGAGTTGAACGAGCAGTGCCTGAGATGAAAGAAAAATGAAAGATTTGTGTAATATTCATTTGGGGAAATAAATGAGATGGTTCATCTGCAGACACCTGTTAGACCCTTGTCATCTTTCCTCAACAAGATCTTCCTCCTGTCCATTTCTGGTTCTTATACATAAGTCTCCCATCACTCAATTCAAATGTTTAAGTCCCTTTTGAGTACTATCTTCCCCTCACGTCTTCTTTTAATAAGACTTAAAATCCTATTTATCCTTACTTCATATTTTTCATGTCTTTTTTATTTTTTACATTCCTAACTCAAGACCTCATTTCTTCTCACCTGGAATAGCAACACAGCCTTCTTACTGGTCTCCCTGACTCCTGATTGCTCTCCATTCAGTGGAGCCTCCACATCACAGCCTCATTCACCTTCACGCAAGCCTATTTTGATCATGTTACTTCTCTGATCAGATCCCTTCAAAAGAAAAGTTAAACTCCATGACCGCAGTTCTTCGGCCAGCTCCAATTTACTTTTGCAGGTATATCTTCCATTAATTTCCATATATTCTCCAAATTTCAGTGAAACTACCCCCATTCCTTCTAATCACCTCCAAATCATCTGATTCTGCTTCCTCCATATGGGAAATCTTAACTCTACAAATTCCGACACAACCTTCAACCCCAGAATTAAATATGACCTATTCTATATTTAAAAATAAACAATTCTAATGTTCCTTACATATAAGCATTGAAATTGCTTCAGCCCTCAGTCGAGATTGTCCATGCAGTCAGATCACACAGGGTCTTTACATGCCACAGAAAGAACCTTGGAATTCATTCTTTAGGCTACAGGGAACCAATGAAGAGTATTATGCATTGGAATTATAAATCAGAGTGGTATTTAACATAGATGATGCTGTGGCAGTGGAGAGACTGAATTGGATGGGAGCAAAGAGACTAGTGGGAGGATGCACTGAGCAGTTCTTGGATTTTCCTGAGAGATAAGACTGAAAGAGTACATTTGGAGGGACTATGATGAGATCAATTCTAAGTGTGTTGAATGGGAGGTTCTGGGGACTGGGTGAGACAGGCAAAATGCCTGAGAGTGCAAAACTTAAGGAGACACTTACTCTGAGGTGCCCACTCAGCACTTGAATGACCCAAAGCATAGGTACTTCCTTAAATTCTTCACCCTAGGCACCTAGCTCACCTTACCGCTAAGTTCCTATGATACATTTTGTAGAGATATCACCTTGGCAGCCAGGGAGGTACACTGCTCAGATCTTCCTTCAAGAAAGAACTTGCTATTCAGCTGCAAGAAGTGCAGTTAGCTGACAACATCCAGCTACAGGACTTTCAGGATCTTCCTCAACTTTTAAGCCACAGCCATGCTCTTTCGGGGAGCCCCCAGCCAGTGATTGAGCATAGCAGGGGTACTAGGCCTGGTCATTTCTGCCCACTGTGAGACTCCTTTAATGGGCAATCTTCCCTCCAGAGGTTGCCATTGGGTTGGGTGAGATTTTGTCATATCTGCATTGTGTGGTCAGAAGGCTCTCCCTGCCCAATTTTGCTTCCTTCCCCATTTGTCTTTACTCTCAAATAAACCACTTGCACTACTAATTCTGTCTCAGAATCTCTTCCCAGAGAACCTAAATGACACACCCAGTGAACAACTAGCCATACCAGTCTGGACCTGGAACTAGAGATGAAATAAGCTAACTGTGATTTTTTTGTATAGTGGCTAGAAGGCTGGGCTCTAGAATCTGGGTTCAAATCCCACTCCTCCATTTCTGACCTTATACAAACTCAGACAAGTTAATTAAACTTCTCGGTACCTCAGTTTCTTCACCAGTAGAATGTGGATATTAATAGTCAATGAGGACTATATAAGATAGTGCATTTAAAGTATTTAGTGCAGTGCCTGGCCCATAGCTGGCCCATAGTAAATACTCAATAAATATGAATTAAAATTATTATGTAGATTTTAAAATGCATTTACAGAGGTTGTTTGGCATAACAAAATAGGAGAAATGTTTACTTAATCAAATAATTTTCCACAGACTCTAATAAGGTTAGTGAATATTAATTTTGAAAAATTTAAAGCCCAACTCTGTAATTTTTTTTAAATTTGATTTCCTCTTACTTCCAATACGGCTCCTCTCTCCATACAATGCCATCACCTTCTTGTCTCCTCCCGTGATTTACTTCTCCTTTCTTTTCCATCCACTCCAAATTCTCCTATTACTCTCCTTTTTATCAATTTTTGCTAATAACCTCCTCCCCCGCTTGGTTGAGAACTCATCTTCTCCAGAGAGTCTTTCTTGACCAGCATGCCCTCCCCACCCTAACTGTGATTGTTCTTCTCTATTGGAAAATGCTCCCAAGGATTTTGTCCTTTTGAAACTAAGTAGTACAAAAAACAAAAAATCCAATGCAATTCTCAAACCATATTGAAGGTGTCTTGCCTCCATAAATAATGGTTAATAATGAAATAGCAGGAATGGTATCTTTAAACAGGAGCTTCCCTCCTTGACACCTCCTTTTGTCCCAAAGCTAGAAGCCAGCTTGGCAATGTGATGCTTAATAAATGCTTACTTAAAGGATGAATATTTTCAGCTATGGATGCATGGTCAGCCTACAAATTATATTTTTTATGTCTTCATTCTATATGTGAGCCTTAAAAATAAAATGTTTGTTAAGACAGTCCTGGTCACATAATAGGGAAACTATTGTATGAGGGGAAGTAAGTGTTTTACAATCATTTTAGGTATTTTGGGGTAATATAAATTTGTTTCATAAAATAAAGGCCTGGTCTACAATATGTCTAAAGCCAGTAGGAGGTCATACTTAGAGACAGATGGCAAATGCAGCATTCTTTCCTCTCACTTTTTAGTACATATGATATTCACTACAAAATGGCACTGAATGTTTTTCTTTTACCACACAGTACTACATAAGCTCTGAAAAACAAAACCTCTTTTTACACCTATGAAACCTCAAACAAAATAATTGACTTCAAAAGTAAAGTGAGGGTATTTTGTAATGTGATTGAAGGCAAGGAATATTTTTACATAGATTAATATTTCTATATATGTATTTATGCATATATAGCACGTGAAAAAAGGTGCTAGTAAATCTTTAGCCATCCTATTCATTCAATTTAAAACCTTCATTAAGATATTTACATTCAAGGCAAGATTCCTACATTGAATAAGACACAATCTTAGGTTCATTTACAACATTGGAAATGAATAGGACCTAAAATAGAAATCAGTTACACACAGAACAATATATGAGTATAACATTAATAGCCTACACAGATTTTTAATGGCTCCTAATATAATATGCTGTTTTAAGGGGCCATTTCTACATACTGAAATGCATTTTTACTGTACTATTATACTTTAATTATAAATTGAACATGGTTGATAAAATCAGCATTTAGAGTTATGTAAATTTTTAAAAATATACATAATCCTCTATAAGTACACAGCTCTATATGTGATAAAATATTAGATCTTGGATGCTAAAAAGTAAGAGTAGCTTTCACACTGACCTTAATAATATTCATTTTTATTGTTACAACTCAGTCAACTATTTTACTGAAGTTTACAATTGTCCACAATGCGAAGTAAATCCAATGCAATTGTTGCTTTTATAATCATTATCATGAAGCAAAAATAATAGCCAATATAAAATAATTAACCTATTTACTACATCATCTTAAATATATTAAGAAACTACAAGATGGCATTAATACTATCCTAATCTGCTCCACTTAACAAGCTAATATTTAAGATGCTTCCATTTTCAAGTATCACTACCCAACGTACATTTAAAAAACCTACTTGTGAAAAACTATTTTAATTTCTTAGAAAACTACTAGTTCAAAGAAAACCTACTTTGTGAATGCTATTTGACTTGCTACCTCATTTTCTCTTCTTTACAAAAATTAGTTAATATTGATCTCAAAAAGAGCATAATGCAAAGTGAAAGAATTATTATAATCTGAAGACCAGAAAACAAGTTTCTATTACAAAAGTAAGCAATACTCAAGATCAGTTATTTTTAAGCATATAGCACATTGTAGTCATAATTAGCTCACCACCAGTTAGAAATATACATACACATTTTTCAAAATAAGTCTTTTAAATATAGTGTTGCAAGTATCTTTCTAGCTTAAGAATTTGAAATAGCAATTAAGTATGAACCTTAAATAATTCATCTTTATAACTAGAAGAGCAAGTCCCAAGGATGTAAATCTCACCCAATGAGACAAGGGATGCTGAATATATTATTAATTGCTAAGTAATCTCTTAATCTTAGAATCTAGCACCCAACACTAGCAAATAAATAATGTGATTTATGAGCCTGCACTCTCACGCTGCTTTACTAGAGTTCAATAAACACATGCAGATCCTAAATGTACAGTGTGAATGTGATTCCTACAAGCCAGAAAACATAGAAGGATTTGGCTATAGCAAATCTACCCCATCTACTTATTATTCAAGCACTAGTATTTAGAATACCTAAAATTCCTGCTGAACACTGCGGATCAACGTCCCCCTGAGGTTCTCCAAAGCAGAACCACATCTCTTCCCCTCAGTGCTTACTGAGTTTTAAGAAGGCAGGTAACATGGGGTAGAAATTCTCGTGCAGCAGCAATATAACTCTTCTCTCCCAATTTTCAAAAATCAACACCTCCTCCCCATACACACGCACACACACACACACACACACACACACACACACACACACACACAAGAAAGGAGGGCTTTTTAAATAAGTGTTTAAAACATACCATTTGCATGGGTGTGAAAAATGTATTTTTCCTCTACTTGCTGTTGTTGTGTAAGATATTTACAGATCTGACTAGAAAATCTGGATGTTCATAGGAAGTGTTGCTTTCAATGAGATTCCTTTAGTGAAATCTGTCCGCACAGACACATGTATACATAAATAATACATATTTATGCACACATGCCTACATTAACAAGGACACATGCACACGCACCTAGACCAATAATTAAGCCCACACTGTTCTATAAGCTCTTTTTGACATTTTTTGCATACATGTTAATTCAGAAGACAGATTTTTAAAAAATAATAAGCAGCTGCATATAATGCACATCAAAGTGGCACGTTTAGAAAAGCAAATACATTACCAGACGCATTTTGAAGTTTCTGGAACACCTGCAGGTGAAAGGAGACTGGATCGGATGCTGGCACACTGTATTCCTCAGAATCACAGAGCGCAATGTGACTGTGGGGGAATGTGAGGCGAGTGTGAGGCTGGAAACCTTTGAGTTGAGCTCACTCTAGGCATCAGAAAGCCTCAAAGAGGGGAAAGAAAAAGGCAGCCCACAGACAGCTAGATGAGAAACTTCTGGCACCTCTCCAGCTCAGGAATGAATTCTCTGTAATTTGGAGACGTATAGTGATGGAAATGAAGAGAAACTTGGATTTACGGGTGAATTTGCTCAGCCATGCAGAAACAGGCAGGTAACAGCCTCTCAGCTCATTTTAAAACAGTCATTGAGAAACAAGACTGAATCAAAAAATTAAGAGGCATCCTGCTTTTGAAAAAATGAAAAGGCTACTCCAGCCAGCTTCCCTAGATACCTTTACAAACTTCAAATGGATCATTCCATCAGCTATTTGTTGCGCATTTTATTAATCCCAGTGCAGAGGTAAACTGGAAAATCTAATTCCTTTTATGTAGAAAACTAGATTTATTGCTTCTTTTTATAATGCACTTTAGACATATAAACACATAGATTTACTTGCAGAGTTCTCGTTTCTCATGTAAAACCACTACTGTTTGGTCCAGATAAAATGCTAAAAGGCTTGTTCACAGCTTTTCAAGGAAGTGGAGAAAAAAAAATGTTTAATACTCAGAAGCTGAGCTGAGTACTGATATTTAAATGTACAGTTTGAAGCAAAGAGAATATAAAGGAAGAGCCCTGAAACATTAAGTGGTAGCTAAGAGGTACGATTATATACAAGCATTGAGCAGGCAGGTGGCTTAAGTCTATAAATTTATACATAATTAAGCATAGGAAGAAAAGAGATTTGGCAAATTAAGTTATTAGAGACAATAGCTGTTATTTTGTTTAGGTTTACAAATAGGCTAATAATTTCTGAGGAGTGCACGTGGACATCACCTTGTCTGAAGAACTCCTAAACCTCACAAATAGAGAGCGAGGTCGAAGGCATTGCACAGTGGCAATCTATATTCAAATGTAATGAGGAGGAGGACAATATTACCATGAAGAATGTTGTCATATTACATTGTGCCTGTGTGGCTTAACTACTCATCCAACCTTGCAAATGGCCATTTGCCTGGACTCAATAGCAAACGTGCTATTGATGGGTGGGAGGAGGTGGGAGGCTGATTTTATTTGTTTTACCAAGGACACTCCTTTGGGAGGTTCGGGGATAAAATGCCTGGGCTGAGCATGGGAGTCATTCTGTTCAAGGCCACACATGCCTATAGTAAATTTGAAGTGGAATTAATGATGACCAATTAAGCTATTTATTATTTTAACTCTTGAGGTCAAGGGCAGAACAGTATTTATGTTTATTGATAAAGAGTCAATGGTCAGACTGCTGCAGAAGGCCAGACTCACCTTTAAGCACGCTCGATTGATACGTATTGACCGAGGCACCGCCAGTCCCCCTCACATTCCACTGCTCAGGCCTGTTTGCCTAGATTCTGTTCTTAGCTCTCCACTGCCATTTGTTTCATCCATTTGTTCAACAAATATCCACTGAATTACACATCAGATGCTGTGTAGAACACAATGACCCTTAAGATGAGAACTCCCTCAAGGGGCTTACCATTGTCAAATAGTACCACAAGGGACTCAGCAGGGGATGGACACAACAGAATTACTTACAAAATTCATGCTCACTGCCATCTCTTGCACTGTGGATTACCCTAGGTAGCATGAGGCAAGCAGAGTTCGGACATGTGTTTTGAAATTCTCTCCAGGCGATTCTGATGAAGTCCTCCCTCTCACCCATAACAGCAGCTGCAATTCAAAACTGCTGTTACAGAGCCTTGGAGTCTTTCAAGGAGGAAGGCATCCCATCCGCCACTGCCTCCAGACTCAAGCAACACAGCTGCTCAAGCTGACCTGCACTTCTGCTCTTGTGGATCCCTCTACCACAGGAAGGTCTGGATTTCCTTGGTTCACCCAGAGCCTGAGGGCACAAGGCTGAAAATGGATTTGGAAGCCAAAGCTGAAGGCAAAAGAAACCCCAAATCTTTTGATTCATTTGTATAACCTCTCTGGGCCTCTGTTTTGTTTTGGTTTGATTTTAATCTGTAGAATGAGAGGGACGGGCAGGCTTTGAGTCTATATATCCTCTGCCAAAACATAAGAGGAAGTCAGTTCTGTGGCATCCCGGCCCTATGCAAGAGCACACCTGAGACAAGAACTCAGAATTTCTAACTTAAAGGCACCCAGGCAGCAAGTCAAATCTGGTCCCTTCTGCCTGAGGAGCGAGAGTCCCAGCATTCTTCTACCCTTCTTCATGGGAGGACCACTGAGGAATTTGCATGAGAAAGCACATTATCTGCCAATTCCCTTCATCCTTTGCTTCAGCATCTGCCTCAGCTTCAGACCCAAAGGACCTCCTAGTGAGTAGTAGATCCTGGCATCTTCAAGCAAGGGGTCACATGCTGCCAGAAGCCTGGTTACCGCCCGGCTCCACCACAACAGATCCTCTTCAAATGAGTGTAAGAACCTGAGGAGGGGGTTCAGTGCCCACAAGAACAGCTCTATTCCTAAATCTCTGGTGGTGGCAGAGTGTCCCATGTCTCTCCTCAGAAACATAAGAGAAGAATATGGCCACAGCATCCTCCACAGCTGGTCTGCCTGCCCCCTGCCCAAACTGTCAACACCGCCTGATCTACATCCTGCAAGCTCATCCACAGTAAAAATAAGAAAAGCTCAGAATAGCTCAGAGCAGAGGGTTCACTCTGCTTCCCCCACTCCACCTGACTGCCCTGCACTCAGCACTACCTTCACTCACTCAGGAAGAGTCTAACCTTCACAGGTACTGTCTTAGTCTGTTTTATGCTGGTATAACAAAACACCTGAGACTGGATAATTTATATTGAACAGATATTTATGAGCTCATGGTCCAAAGGCTCAGAAGTCTAAGATCAAGGGGCTAACACCTGGTGAGGGCCTTCTTCCTGATCATAACATGGTGGAAGGATGAAGGGCAAGAGACAGTGAGAGAGAGAGAACTGAACTCACTCTTTTATGACCGCACTCTGGTGATAACAGCATTAATCCATTCATGAGGGCAGAGCCTTCATGGTCTAATCATCTCGTGTTAGGCCCCACCTTCCAACACTGTTGCATTGGGGATTAGGTTTCCAACACGTGCTTTTTGGGGGACACATTCAAACCATAGTATTTCACCCCTAGCCCCCCAAATTTATGTTCTTCTCACAGTGAAAAATATGTTCATCCCATCCCAAATGCCCCAAAGTCTTAACTCATTTCAGCATCAGTCTTATCTAAAGTCCAGAGACTCATCTAAATCAAATACAGGTGAGACTCAAGGCATAACACATCATGAGGCAAATTATTTCCAGCCATGAGCCTATGCAATCAAACGAGCTGTCTACTTCCAAACTACAATGGTGGGACAAGCATAGGATAGATATTCCCATTCCCATTTTATGAAGACAAAGCTCATCTGACCAAATAAATGTAATGCAAACCATTTAGTAACTTTACTTAAAAAAAAATGTGTTTTTCAATCTCCTCTAGTTCTCTATTAAGAACAAGCAGAAAATCCTGACATTGAAACACCAAGAGATAAATGTTCAAAGGTGGTAGCACCAACAAGATTATTGGAGACAGATAGGTCCAAGTTGAAAGACTGCATTCTCTATTTAGTAGCCATGTGTCTTTGGGTAAACCATTTAAATTCTCTCATACTGTTTCATGCTCTATAAAGGAAAAAAAAAACACCCTATCTTATGAAGTTCCTTTGAGAGTTAAAACTCTGAAAAGTACTTGGCACATCATAAGTCACTAAAGAAATAGTAACTCCTAATAACCAAAATTTCTAATTACCTTTGATATTCCCAATAGCCTGAAAGCTCCATGAGGACAAGGACTATGTCTTAGCCACCTTCATATCCCATCCTTCATATCCAGAACATCATGGGCCTCTACATCCATTCCAAAAATGTTTATTGCCTACCTACTTTCACTACCACATTCTGAGGTATGTGCCAGAGACATGGCAGTGAACAAACAGGTGTAGCTCCTGTTCTCATGTGGTTCACAGTCTATTGAAGAGATCAATGTTAAGTAGTGCCATAAATGACCAAAAATCATAAATGAATTAACTAATTAGTTAATAATAATCTTCTTAGCTTTTTATTGAAAACAACCCAGACAATGTCAAGGGCACAAATGGAAGAAAATTTGTGACTGCTTCAGACAATTACCTTTAAACCTGGGGGGCTGATGGTCTGTCCCTCATTAAGTGGCAGGTCTCTCCCAGGAGCTGTCTCCTGAGACCTCTCAGGCTAGGCCAGGCAACCCTTTGATCTGTTCACAGTCCCTTATCCCACCGGCAAAACGTTCTGGTTCCTGGCTTCACTGTTTTACATCCAAGCTGTCTGAAATGCAATAACATTTTTTAAAGAGCAACAAGGATTTTAATTAAAGTTCCAGGGATCCAGCCAAGGATATTTTTCTAAAAGAGAAGCAATATCTGTTTTTGGAGACAGAACATTTCATAACAGAGATCTCATATACTGTGATGAATGACAAATAGTGACATGGGCTATATCCCCACAGAAGCGTGTATGCATGTGTGTGTATGTGTACTTGTGTGTTTAAACTTATCCTGCCTAATGACGACAGAGACGGGGAGACAAGCGCACTCTAGTTATTTAAACCATTCAGATGTTTAAGGCAGACAGTTAATGGAACAGCATAAGGGCCTTCCTCTTAAGGGTAGGGGATTACTTTTTGTTCTCTCTGATGATTCCCTTTGATTTAAAAGGCTTTGGCTACAAGACTCTCAGCAAACAGCATTAGATAAGAATTCAGCTTCTACAAGTGCTGATCAGCAGATGTCTATCACACACCTAAATCCAGGGAGGGACCACAGGGCATACTGTAATTCCATGCCACTTGCACCTGGGGGTAAATGGATTTAAAATTAAATGAAACCCAGAATATCATAGCTGGCAGTTTGGCAAGATTGTTCCACCTATGGGTTTTGTTTTTTGTAAACTCATGCTTGCTGCTTGGCAAATTGTTGATAATCCCTGCTCATCAAACCAGTCAGGGGCTGTACAAAGTGAACTCCAAAGCCACCCAGTTTCTTCCATTAACCTGAAAAGCCTACACTCATGTCAGCATGGGCAGAGGTAGGCTCATGTCCATTTCAGGCTCATCTGGGAGTCCCTTGATACTGTGAGCAGAGGCATTAGAGGGAATTCTGTTAGAAGCTGGCAGGCCATGTCAGGCAGAAGGGTTGGAAACTTGGATGTTTCTGGTGTCCACCCATCCCCAGAGGCTTTGGCACTGCCTTGGGGCCACCAATTACAGATGTTTCCCAGGCACAGATGGCTGAGGGACAGACCACCATGGATCTGCTGAGAAGCCTCAGCCAAGGTACTGGCCATGGACTTGGAAGAGGAAGCTAGATGGGGATAGTGAATCCTATTTCCCTGACACTATGGATGTTATTTCTCTGGATCCAAAGGACAAAGGATAAAAAGGTGATTTTATGAGAGCGTGATAGCGCCATGCTAGACAGACATCTCCACCCTAAACACTTACTCATCTAAGGGAAAATTGATCTGATTCCCCTTCCCCCCAGCAAACCATGAACAAGTAGGCTAAACTGTTACTAGCCTATCTTTTTACATCAATTTTAGCTGGTGATAATAAATACAAAAATCACAAGAAAATATAGTACATACGCACACATATGTATCATTCTATATATATGGCTATACCTTTTGCTATAAGACAAATATATTTTTGTCTTTAAGTGACAACAACAGGTGACAATACTTTTAAGCCTCGAAAGGCAAGCCAGTGGACATAAATGAGAGCAATGCGCAAACACCACCCACAGAAACCTAAGGCATGGGAAGTGAGTAACTAGGGGCCAATTACCAACTCAGAATCAAAAAGTAACATCTGTGTGGCTCACTGATTCTCAGATTGTACAGCACACTGGGGGCTTCCACAGCAGGCACAACTGACCCTCATGACAACGGAAATGGATCCATGTGCCACCGGTGTAGGGGATAAGCACTGGTCAGAAGGATCTCGGTTGTTGTTCCATCACCTACCACTGTGACCAGAGCCTTAAGTCTCCCATCGCTACAGAGGGACCAGTGTAGGAGGAAGTAGTGCTCTGCCTGCTTTACAGTGTTGTTCTGTAAAAACCACATTATGTATGCCAATTTGCATACCAAGTGAAAAGCAGTACACAGATGTATTGTATCCATACTGCCCAACCTCAGCCCAAGGCATCAGAGCATCACCAATAAATCACTACTGTTTTATCAGCATAATGTCCTAGCAAAAAGGAAAGTGCCCATAAGAACCCTAAGAGGGACTCTGTGTATGGAGGATTAAGCCATATGAAAAAGAAAGCAAAAACATCAAACATCCCCCATGCCTGACAATGCAGCCCAGTCAGGGGTAGTACACTTCAATTAAGTGCTAGGCTTACAGAAAGCCTTGCAGATTGACTATCAAAGTTCCTGCTCAACTGAACTGAAACCTTACAAAGTGGCCACCACTAAGACTCACCAAGGAATTCCTCATATAAACAGTAGTCGATGTCAATTAACCTTTGTGAACACGAAAAATAAATGGAAAGGTTGAGGAATTAACAAGGAGACAAACACAGATGCCAGGCGCAAGCATGATGTTACTGTAAATGGTACAATCACATGGTGGTTAATTTTAGTGTATTATGAATGGCTCTCATGATAAAAGACATTCTCTAAAAATGGAAGTGAATTAGAAATAAGGACTGAGTCAAATTCATATCTTCCCCTATAGCACTCTGATTTGTCCCACATCTGCAGTGAGAGTGCAAATATTTAGTAATACCATAGTGGTGCCTTCTGAATGTTTGAAGAATCAGTAAATATACTGCATTCAGCTCTGTATCATTCAACTTCTTTAACTGAAGATCCAAGCAAAATTAATTAAATTCATAAGTTATGAAAATATCTTCCCCCTAAGGGGAAAAATATTCATGGAGTACAGAATGGACTGAGAACATCACTGGGTCCAATATTAGCCCTAGGGCAATGATGGAGCTTCCCACCACTCCCCCTTGGCTTAGCGTCCTTCTATTCATGTCCCCACCTCCATCCTGCAATAGCTGGAGCCTCACAGGCGTGTGTATGGACAATCCAGAAGACAAGTCTATTACTCTTCACACCACTATCCAATGCCCACAAACACCCTCATTGCACACCCTGTGGGCCTGGATATGTGGACACTAGTTATGTACTCACACCCTCAGGATTTTAGACCCAGGCCATAGGAGAGAGGTCTTCACAGACCTTGGAAACAACCTGAGAGTCACTTACACGGGGACTTCTGGAGTCTGAGTTACGGGACCACGCACTAAAAAGGGGGCCAAAGACTCCAAGTGGGCATGTCCTCTTGATTCCTTGAATCCTTCATACCATAAGGAAAGCCACTGACCAGAGAAAGCCACAAGCCAGGCCCTCTAAGATACAGAGTCAGGGCAGGGCAGGGATCCTGGATGCCTGGGTCTAAGGAGGTACTTATTGAACCCAACACCCTTCCAGGGGAACTCTTTCCCCGCTGTGATTCCCTTAATGGTAAAACTTGATGAGCAAACAATCTATATCCATGGTTCTATTTATCCATTAACTTTTTTGTTAAAGCCTTGATTTTTGCCATCCTCAGATTATAATCTGCGTCTTTACCATGTAGTAAAACTATTTTCACTAAGAGCACCTAACTTTCTTCATATCAAATTTGTTTGCCCATTTAATTTGAGAAGTAAGTTTTTTTTGTTTTTTGCTTTTAACTACTAATATCATTCTCCATCTAGACCTTATCTAGCCTTGCTCTTTGCATATGTGCCCTTGATCCTAATCCTATTAGACTGGTGCAAAAGTAATTGCCATTACTTTTAATGGCAAAGACCACGATTACTTTTGCACCAACCTCGTGGTCTTTGCCATAAAAAGTAATGGCAATTACTTTTGCACTAACCTAGCATTTCCTCTGCACCTACTTTTCTTTCTCTTCCTCCTACATCCATTCTTTGCACCAGGGATTCTTTCAATTTTACACAAAAATGTTCATCTATTTCCATAGTTAGCAGCTCTCAAACTGGGGAAACCGATTTTTTTAAACACTTGATGCTCATCTTCTCTATAAAGTATTTCTACATTAACCCCACTAAGAACTAATCACTCCAGATAACACACAATAATGCTAAGGTTGGGGTTCTATCTTTGTACAAGTGAAATGGAGGAGAACACAGAGATGGTAAAGGGGGTTCCTCTTATTTGCCAAACCCACTGACTAGTATTATGTATTCCTAGAGTGAGTGATGTTGCACACACTTTTGATGTGCACAGGAATCATCTGGGATCCTGTTAAAATGCATATTCTGATACAGTAGAGCTGGGTGGGCCTGAGAACGAGCATTTCCAATAAGCTCTCAGGTGACGCTGATGTTATTGATCAGCGGGCCACACTTCAAGTTCCAAGTGCCTAGAGAGCTATTTTACAAATTTTTCTGAGTATGAGTTTGGATGTAGTAGTAGAGAGTGTCATGATTGATTAGTAATGCCTGTCACGAGCACAGGAAGAGTGAATGCCAACATTGATCAAATTATTCAGTGATTCACTGATTTATTCAACACACACCTATTGATTAACAATGTGGTACACAGTATGCACAGAGTAGAGGCAGAAAAAGTCACTGTCTTTGCAAAGCTTACATTATAGTAGGTAGAGGGACAACTGAAAAGCAAACAAGATAATTTTATACAGTAGTAAGTGTTGTGAAGGTGACGTAGGCAATAAACAGGTGATGCACAGAGAGTAACCGGAGAAAGCTACTTCCAATCTTACAACCAAGGGGTCAGAGAAAGCCATTCCACTGAGGTCATGGTTAGACTGATGCCTGAAGAATGGAAACATCCCAGATATAAGGACATTAACGGGACAGCCTTTCACCAGGAAGAACAGAAAAAAGCAACAGCCCAGAATCAGAAAGGGGACCACACCGCTGCATATTTGCCATTCTCAGATAGTAAAAAAAAAAGCACAGACTTTAGATTCAGGCAAATGTATGTTCTAGTGCCAACTGTCCCACCATGGACAAGCTATTTAACCCACTCTTTACTTTTTATTCTTAATATTCTTTATTTCTTGCTACCTTGTCAGAACTTTGCTAGATGCCAGTGATACAATAGTAAAAAAGATAGATGTGATCCTGCTCTCATGAAGCTTCCATTCCAGCCCTGTAAACCTCTTTCCTTATCTATAAAATGGGTACAATAATACTGACTTGGTAGAGTCATCAAATGAAATGACATTTTGAAAAATTTAATGTATAACACTTGTCACCAGTAATTATTAGAATCTCTCTTTTCCTTATATATTTAGAAATATGTTAACAAAGTTCATATGTCATTTGTGTATTTAAGATTTGTCTTTTGTAATCTGTTTTATATTTCTCCTTAGATTACAACATCTTGAAATTAGGAAACATAATCCTTTACAGCTGCTTGTCACCTTAGAGAGCACTTCACTCATGCAATTGTTCAACAAATATTTAACCAAGTGCCAAATACATACATAGGTAAGTTGTTTAGCAATTGTGTTATATATATTTTTTAAAAACTGGAGCAAGCTAAGAGGAAGAGGGAATGATGAGGAAGGGAGAAATGTTATTATACCTAAGGGTGGCCACAGGAGGTCTCACTGATAAGGTCACATTCAGGCTGAGGACTGAGGGTTGAGGGTGCAGTCCATGTGAGTTTCTGAAGAAGGATTTTTCAGGCAGAGGACGCAGCAAGTGCGGAAGTCCTGACTGTCTAGTGTGTTTGGGGAACAGCAAGAAGGCCCATGTGGCAAATTCCTTCATTTTATGAAAGAAGAAATTGAGGCCTGCAGAAATATCTTTGGCAGACCCAAGTGTATCAATTACGTTAAACTTAGCTGCTGTAACAGAATTAACAAGGATTCAAACTTAAAAGAAGTACATGTCTTGTTGAGGTAAATTATTATACCAGTGCCCCAGGGCACCACAGGACTCTCCTCCAAGCACTGATTCAAGGACCCAGGCTCCTTCCATATTATGTCTGCCATCTTCAACATGTGTCTCCCAGGCTCACATTGTCAGTCTCTTGTGTCTGATAGGGAGAGATTATGGAGGATCACATATAGGAGGTTTGTAATAGGGCCAGACTGGTGGACTGTGGGGTACATCACTTCTGCTCACACTCATTGTCCATAATTTAGTCACGTGGAGCCACAGTGGAGCCTGGGAAATGCAGTCCAGCCGAAAGACGAGAAAAAGGAATTTGGTAAGCAGCTAGCCAGTCTCTACCAGGCCAGCCCTCTTCCTGCTAGCCCTGTGTTTTCTTGGTTTGCAATATACATATGCATCACAACAAAATTGCTTATAAAGTGGCCTCTATGTTAATGATAACTGGCCACTAGTAACAGTGACAAAATGAGACCAGAAATAGAGAATCCCTAATTATCTGCTGCCAGCCAAAACAATTCCATTGGTCAAGAAGTTTAATGTTACCAAAATGGGAGTAATGGTGAAAGAGATATGATGAATTGAAGGTATTGATGCAGACTCAAACAGGAGACAGTGTGATGAGAGGGGAAGCGTGCATAGACAGAAAATCATATCACAGCCCCTACTTCACCTGCCTCCATAGGTTCACAAGATCTAGCTGTAACTCAATAACCAGTTGCTCTCTGAATTTCCTCATCTCAGCTTTTTACATTAGCAAGATTGTTGAGACTCATATGGAGATTACATAAGCAAAAATAAAATTGAGGCATCATAGTTGTTACAAAATTAAATTATAAATAATGGAAAGAAAATATCAGTGTTAGGGAGGCAAGAAATTAGAGTCAGACAATGGAATTGGATTACTCTGTGGAAAGTCTTTTTAGATATCAAAAACAGTTTAATTAAAACTTTCAAAAGCAATACACATCTAAGAAGAACATGATTACTAGAGAATAGGTCGGGATGTAAATAGTCTCTAATGAACAAAGTATATGGTTCAAAAATTCTGCCCTTTCATCTTAAACTAACAAGCCAAAAAAAAGCCTTTTTAAAAATAGCCTTCTATAGTTGTAAATTTCTTAGGATGGGACTAAAGTTATATAATTATAGTCAAATGAGCCCATCCCATGTGAACATGTACAATAATACCAGTATCATAATTAAATCAAAGTTTTGAGTGAAAGAAAATGGTTCAGATACTTCGACAGAAAATGTTACTTAAAATGCTATTAGTCTGGGTTTTAATACTCATTAATGATTAGAAAACATTATATCAATTAAATCCACTATTGATTTTAAATTGAGTAATGCAGATAACAACTTGAAACCCCCTCCCAAAACAAATAAAAGTCATGAAAATATTTGAATAATATATAGCAAAATGTTAGGAAAGTATCTATCAACTTGGAAAAAATAATAAAAGCTGAGTCAGTATCATTTCATGTTAATAACTATTTGCTGACTCACTGTGAGTACTTTATGCTGACCACCTCCTGCAAATGGCCCTATTAACACTGATATCTGAGAATAGTCATAATTTCTCCAAATCTGGCCATGAGCTTCTAAGCCCTATTTACATCTGGTATCAGATTTTTCCTTTTACAAGGACAGGTTAAGGATGATATGGAGAATTGCCATAGATTTGGAGCCATGTTTGATGGAGTTAGCTAAGTAGTAATGGATAATATAGGGGCAAGGGGTATACACAACACAAAGAGTTCTTTCTCAGAACTCATTACTCTTATGTCCTGTTGCACTGATTTGCCGATTAATCATTGATCATGTGCTGCCTGTGACATTTCTTGTCTTGTCAATCTGTATTAATACATTATTCTTATGTTGCTTTAATTTCCTCATCTTGCTTTCCTAACACTGAGAACAGAAAGCATATAAAATATACATTTTAACTTCTTTGAAAAGCACTTTTGCACATAGTAGGTGACAACTTGTAATATCTGTCAGTGCAATGAATGATTCATAATCTGTGAATCATTTTAGATTAGTCCACCCCAAATTAAAATTAGGTCAGACCAAGGTAGAATATAATCTTATTTCGATAACTGAAGCTCTCAGGCCTCTGTTGGAAGTGTTGAGGTTGACTTATGTCCATAATTACATGCTGAAAAGCTTTGCGTAGAAGGAAATACAGGGATTGGGTAGAAAGAATAGACTGGAGGAGAGCAGGAAAGACCAGTGATTTGAAAAGCACATCACAACCAGACCTCATAAACTCCACCTACTAAAGAGTTGGCTTTGCAATGGCAACAAAAGACAAAATTGACAAATGGGATCTAATTAAACTAAAGAGCTTCTGCACAGCAAAAGAAACTACCATCAGAGTGAACAGGCAACCTACAACATGGGAGAAAATTTTCGCAACCTACTCATCTGACAAAGGGCTAATATCCAGAATCTACAATGAACACAAACAAATTTACAAGAAAAAAACAAACAACCCCATCAAAAAGTGGGCAAAGGAAATGAACAGACACTTCTCAAAAGAAGACATTTATGCAGCCAAAAAACACATGAAAAAATGCTCATCAACACTGGCCATCAGAGAAATGCAAATCAAAACCACAATGAGATACCATCTCACACCAGTTAGAATGGCAATCATTAAAAAGTCAGGAAACAACAGGTGCTGGAGAGGATGTGGAGAAATAGGAACACTTTTACACTGTTGGTGGGACTGTAAACTAGTTCAACCATTGTGGAAGTCAGTGTGGCGATTTCTCAGGGATCTAGAACTAGAAATACCATTTGACCCAGCCATCCCATTACTGGGTATATACCCAAAGGACTATAAATCATGCTGCTATAAAGACACATGCACACGTATGTTTATTGCGGCTCTATTCACAATAGCAAAGACTTGGAACCACCCCAAATGTCCAACAATGATAGACTGGATTAAGAAAATGTGGCACATATACACCATGGAATACTATGCAGCCATAAAAAATGATGAGTTCATGTCCTTTGTAGGGACATGGATGAAATTGGAAATCATCATTCTCAGTAAACTATCACAAGAACAAAAAACCAAACACCGCATATTCTCACTCATAGGTGGGAACTGAACAATGAGATCAAATGGACACAGGAAGGGGAATATCACACTCTGGGGACTGTGGTGGGGTGAGGGGAGGGGGAGGGATAGCATTGGGAGATATACCTAATGCTAGATGACGAGTTAGTGGGTGCAGCGCACCAGCATGGCACATGTATACATATGTAACTAACCTGCACAATGTGCACATGTACCCTAAAACTTAAACTATAATAAAAAATAAATAAATAAATAAATAAATAAAATAAAAAATAAAAAATAAATAAAATTCAATGGCTTCATTCTTAGTGAAAACATAAATGAAAAAAAAAAAAGAGTTGGCTTTGAAGAAAAGAATGAAGTAGGCACAATAATGACACCAAAGATGTCCACATCCTAATCTCTGGAAACTGAATATCTTGCATTAAATGGCAAAGGAGAAATAAGGTTGTAGATGGAATTAAGTGTGCTAATTGACTGACTTCAAGATAAGGAGTTTTTCTGGAAAATCCAGGTGAACCCAATGTAATTACAAGGGCTCCTAAAAGTGGAAGAGGGAGGAAGAATTTGTGTCACAGTGCTGTGATGTAAGGAAGACTCGACCAGCCATTGCTGGCTTTGAAGATGGAGAAGGGCCACCAGCCACAGAATGTGGGCAGCCTCTGGAAGCTGAAAATAGATTCTCCCGTAGAGCCTCTAGAAAGGAATGCAGCCCTAAGGACACCTTGATTTCAGCCAGTGAGACCTGTGTTGGATGTATGGCCTCCAGAAACATACCATAATAAATTTGTATTGTTCTAAGACACTAAGTCTGTGGTAACTTTATAGCAGCAACAGAAAATGAATACAGACCAGGTGATGTGGTTCATGCCTGTAATCCCAGCACTTCGAGAGGCCAAGGCGGTTGGATCAACTGAGGTCAGGAGTTCGAGACCAGCCTGGCCAACATGGTGAAACCCCGTCTCTACTAAAAATACAAAAATTTGCCAGGCATGGTGGTGCACACCTGTAATTCCAGCTACTTGGGAGGCTGAGGCAGGAGAATCGCTTGAACCCGGGAGGTGGAGGAGGTAGCAGTGAGCCAAGACTGCACCACTGCACTCCAGCCTGGGCAACAGAGTGAGACTTGGCTTCAAAAAAAAAAAAAGGAAAGGAAAAATGAATACAAAGGCCAAACATTTTAAAGCCTTCAGACCACTATTTATTTGACATTAATCACAAATTCACTTACAACAAAAGGAAATAAAACTGTACAATTAGAAGGAATAGTTTGTAACATCAATAAAACAAGTGAACCAAAAACAAGAGTAATAAAAAAATAACAAGAAGATTCAAATAGGATAATATGGTTCTTATTTCCAGGGGAAAAAAAAACTGAACTAAAACCCAAAAGAATGTGTGTGATTTTAAATCTGCCCTCGTTGGGCTACTGTGTGGCTCTTTTTCATTCACAATGAGGTAAAGTATAAAACATCTTTTTTTAAATGTGATGAATTGTCTCTGAGAAAAATGATATCTTAGATCCCCCTCTCCCTAGTGTATTGCTTTGGTATAGTCCTAAACCTTACTGTGGCTTTAATTTTAAATAGCATAAAATAATAGTTGCTTCAAGTTCTCTGATGAGAAGAGGTACTGTACTAGGAATAGCAAGCAGGTAGACTGTGACAAGGTCAAAGTAAACTGTTCCCAGGGTAATAGCAAAACTCCAGCTGTTCATCACTTCATCACATGCAGTGTCAGGGAGAGAGGGAGGGGAATGGTACTTATGGTTATCATTGATTTGCTGAAGTTGAGTTTAATTCAGTCTCTTAATTTCAAGAACCTCCAAAATTCAAATTCAAATTCCTATATTATGTTTAACTACAAATGAGACATATAAATGAGCAAGCAGATACGTAAAGGGAATAGTAAATCCACTTAAACAAAATACAGGAAAGCAGAGATCACTCTATTACCAAGGACATCATCCATAACTGGCTACAAGAGAGTTCAGATATGCCGTATTCTAAATTGACAGGTTATGTCTAAAAAGCATCCTACTTTTATGTGTTTTTAATTACGGAGAGAGGGCACAGAGAAGAGATTTGGGATCAGGAGACCCAGGTTTTAGTGCTGTCTTGTCCAATATTGATCTCTGTGAATCTAGGTTTTCTAGTTTGAAAACTAAAGAGATTAAACTAAATTAATGTGTCCCAAAGTTTGAGATCTATATTAGCAGAAGTAGTAGATAAGTTGGCAAAAAGTATTAAATACGACTGAATTTCAAAGTAAGAAAATTATTTTCTTATCAATGTTCTTTTTAACTTTTCTATGAAAGTCAAAAAGAAAGTCTCAGTTTGGTGCTGGTATAGCTTTTACACATCCCTAATAGCAGCAAATCTCCTTTATTAATGAAGAGAGGGCAGACTTCAAGTTTAGGGCCTTCCAAAGGCAAAGTCTCTAGCTAGAATTTAACGACCGTTTTATCTTTATTGTATCTGATTTTATATTTATAGCATATGAGACTGGTTTCTTTTCATTCATGGTATAATCTGGTTTATTTAACTAAAAAGAAGAAAAATATTAGCGAAATAATATATAGGTGTTAACTACATAAATATAAGAAACATCTTGAAAAAGCAGTATCAACTGACTTCAAGTTGAGAAACCATGAATAAAATTATTCATGAAGTTCTTTCTCATTCTAACATTCTATAAGCCAATAATAAAAATCTGGCCTCCAATGTTAGGACAATTTTTTGACACACAATCTGTTTTATTTAGTTGTTAATGTAACTCCTGGAATTTGTTTTATTATTGAATTAATGTGTACATGTCTTGTTTTCCAAGATAAATAGTACATTGCCCAAAGACAGGAAAAGCAACATGTATGTCTCAATATATACTGAATAAATAAAGGGATCCTTGCTTCTTATATGGATGTTTCTGAACCCAAAAAGAATCCTGAATTTAAAGCCAAAACTGAGTCAGAATAGCCATACTGGTTTTTTCCTCTTCTTGGTTGTTTTGTTTGTTTGGTTAGTTGGTTGAAATATTTAGAGATGGGGTCTCACTATGTTGCCCAGGTGTATTAGTTCGTTTTCTTGCTGCTGATAAAGACATACCTGAAACTGGGAACAAAAAGAGGTTTAATTGGACTTACAGTTCCACATGGCTGGGGAGGTCTCAGAATCATGGCAGGAGGTGAAAGGCACTTCTTACATGGTGGCAGCAAGAGAAAAATGAGGAAGAAGCAAAAGCAGAAACCCCTGATAAATTCATCAGATCTCGTGAGACTTATTCACTATCATGAGAATAGCACGGGAAAGACTGTCCCCCATAATTCAATTACCTCTCCCTGGGTCCCTCCCACAACACATGGGAATTCTGGGAGATAGAATTCAAGTTAAGATTTGGGTGGTGACACAGTCCAACCATATCATTCTGCTCCTGATTCCTCCAAATCTCATGTCCTCACATTTCAAAACCAATCATGCCTTCCCAACAGTCCCCCAAGGTCTTAACTCATTTCAGCATTAACCCAAAAGTTCATAGTCCAAAGTCTCATCTGAGGCAACTCCCTTCCACCTATGAACCTGTAAAACGAAAGCAAGCTAGATACAATGGGGGTACAGGTATTGGGTAAATAAAGCCATTCCAAATGGGAGAAATTGGCCAAAACAAAGGGGTTACAGGGCCCATGCAAGTCTGAAATCCAGCAGGGCACTCAAATTTTAAAGCTCCAAAATGATCTCCTTTGACTCCAGGTCTCACATTCAGGTCATGCCGATGCAAGAGGTGAGTTCTCATGGTCTTGGGAAGCACTGCCCTTGTGGCTTTGCAGGTATGGCCTCCCTCCTGGCTGTTTTCATGGGCTGGCATTGAGTGTCTGTGGCTTTTCCAGGTGCATGGTGCAAGCTGTCGGTGGATCTACCATTATGGAGTCTGGAGGACCTTCTCACAGCTCCACTAGGCAGTGCCCCAGTAGGGACTCTGTGTGGGGGCTCTGACCCCATATTTCCCTTCTGCACTGCCCTAGCGGAGGTTCTCCATGAGGGCCCCACCCTTGCAGCAAACTTTTGCCTGAGTATGCAGGCATTTCCATACATCTTCTGAAAGCTAGGCGGAGGTTCCCAAGCCTCAATTCTTGACTTCTGTGCACCCACAGGCTCAACACCACATGGAAGCTGCCAAGGCTTGGGGCTTCCACTCTCTGAAACCACAGACTGAGCTCTACATTGGCCCCTCTCAGCCATGGCTGGAGCAGCTGGACACAGGGCACACAAGTCTCTAGGCTGCACACAGGACGGGACCCTGGGCTCAGCCTATGAAACCACGTTTTCCTCCTGGGCCTTCAGGCCATGAGGTCTCTGACATGGCCTGGAGACATTTTCCCCTTGGTCTTGGGGATTAACATTAGGCTCCTTGCTACTTATGCAAATTTCTGCAGCTGGCTTAAATTTCTCCTCAAAACATGGGTTTTTCTTTACTACATCATCAGGCTGCAAATTTCCTGAACTTTTAAGCTCTATTTCCCTTTTAAAATGGAATGTTTTTAACAGCACCCAAGTCATCTTTTGAATGCTTTGCTGCTAGAAATTTCTTCCGCCAGATACCCTAAATCATCTCTCCCAAGTTCAAAGTTTCACAAGTCTCTAAGGCAGGGGCAAAATGCCACCAGTCTCTTTGCTAAAACACAACAAGAGTCACCTTTGCTGCAGTTCCCAACAAGTTCCTCATCTCCATCTGAGACCACCTCAGCCTGAACCTTATTGTTCATATAATTATCAGCATTTCTGTCAAAACCACTCAACAAGCCTCTAGGAGATTCCAAACCTTCCCACATCTTGTTGTCTTCTGAGCCCTCCAAACTGTTCCAACCTCTGCCTGTAACCCAGTTCCAAAGTCACTTCCACATTTTTGTATATCTTTTCAGTAACACCCCACTCTACTGGTACCAATTTACTATATTAGTTCATTTTCACACTGCTGAAAAAGACATACCCAAAAGTGGGAACAAAAAGAGGTTTAATTGGACTTACAGTTCCACATGGCTGGGGAGGCCTCAGAATCGTGGCGGGAGGCAAAGGGCACTTCTTACATGGCAACAGCAAGAGAAAAATGAGGAAGAAGCAAAAGTGGAAACCTCTAATAAACCCATCAGATCTCATGAGACTTATTCACTATCACAAGAATAGCACAGGGAAGACTGGCCCCCATGATTCAATTACCTCTCCCTGGGTCCCTCCCACAACACATGGGAATTCTGGGAGATAAAATTCAAGTTGAGATTCTGGTAGGGACACAGCCAAACCATATCACCAGGCTAGAGTGCAGCAGTGCAATCCTAGCTCACTGCAGCCTTGAATTCCTGGGGCTCAAGAGATTCTCCCACCTCAGCCTGCTGAGTAGTTGGGACTACATGCATGCACCACTGCACCCAGACTCTTCTTGGTTTCTCTACGCACCTATGTTTCTATCAAGTGATAAGCCTAGCCAAACCCAAACAGTCCATCTGGAGCCAATTGTTAAGAATTGTTTATGGTCCTGGAATTACCTGCATCTCTTTTTATATTTTCTAGAAGGCCCACAAAGATAATAGAAAATACGTATGATAAGCAAGTTCTTGGAGAGAGTGGATCCCAGGCCAACCACATTTTTGTTTTTGAAGAGGTAGTTCTGAAAGTGAGATTTCTAAATTGGTTGGGAACATGATCCCTATCTTCACAAGACTCTGTAAGGAGGTATATGTTCAATAATCAAAGTAAATTTTAAACAATACTCCAAAAAATCCAATATTAACTGTGTGCTACATATACACTACACTATATATAGTATATATATATACACATACACACTATATGTACACTATCTATAGTATAGTGTATATGTAGCACACAAATTACCTCCTAAGTATATACACCTACTATGCACCCACAAAAATTAAAAATAAACTTAAAATTTTTTAAATTCAGATTTCAAAAAATAATAATAGCTACCACTTATTACATTCTAGATCTTGTGTTAGAAATTTCATATACATACAATTCTGAAAAACAAAACAAAGTAAAACTTTCCCAAGGTAGATGTCATCTCCATTATAAAAATGAGGGAACGAAGCTCAGAGAAGTTTATAAATCGTCCAAGATCATGAAGGTAGGAAGTAGATCTATGATTGGATGTCAGTCTTCCTGACTCTAAAGTCCATGCTTTTTCCACTATGCCACTTGCGCCTTATAATAATAACGATAATTTTTTTTTTCTTTTTGAGACAGAGTTTTGCTCTTGTTGCCCAGGCTGGAGTGCAATGGCATGATCTTGGCTCATTGCAACCTCCGCCTCCCAGGTTCAAGCAATTCTCCTGCCTCAGCCTCCGGAGTAGCTGGGATTACAGGCATGTGCCACCATGCCTGGCTAATTTTGTATTTTTAGTAGAGATGGGGTTTCACCATGTTGGTCAGGCTGGTCTCGAACTCCTGATTTCAGGTGATCTGCCCGCCTCAGCCTCCCAAAGTGCTGGGATTACAGGTGTGAGCCACTGCACCCAGCCAATGATAATAATTATTTATTAGATTCAAGATGACTTCAAACAATTCCACCATTAATTATAATTTTTTATACTTCAGCCATATGCCAACGAAATTCCATTGGTCTTTAACGATTAGAGTGAAAATATTATTTTAATTAATATTAATACTAAAACATGGTGAAAGTTAACGTATAGTGGTAAAGGAGGAAATATGCTCAAATACTTATGCATATTTCCCTGAAAAATAAAGAAAACAAAAACATGGATGAGGTGGGATAGGGAGTACAGTAGGAAGGCTGTCAATGTGTTGTGGTGTTTTGTTTTGTTTTATGAAACCACCTGAGAATAATTAGACAAATGAGTTTATTATTGAGACAGCAATGCATCATTAAAGTCAGGCCATACGTGTTTTAGAATTTGATGTATATCCATAATTCTATTGGACCCCTGTTTGAAAGGATTATAGCAAAGGTATTGAAATCTGATCCTCCTGAGCACTTGTCTTAGAGATTAGTGTATTTTTCTAGTGGTATCTCATCAGAGCATTTCTTCAGAGAATAAGAAATTCCCTCAATATCTCCACATAATCCATGATGCTAAGCTATGTGTATAAACTGTGATTCCTTCCTAGAATCCTCTTCTACCCCGAAGCACCAAAATCTGTTATGGATCCCTGTGTGTAGCGAGGTTGATCAATCCTCAAAAAGTATAGCTATACGTGTATAGATACAAGATATGGATTTAGGTTTCAGAAAATATACAGCATTAGTGAGACAAAACTAAACAACAGGAAATACTTCTTCCATAATGAAGGATCATGTTAAATCTAGCATACTGTTGAAGCCTATAAGTTTTCTAATTTACATTAGAAATGGTTTACATACCTTGGGAATGTTAGAAAGATAAATAGCTTCAGCCATTGTCTCAGATCTCAAAGTTCTCCAAAACCATGTACCCCAATACCATTTGAAAGCCTGCAACTCAGAGTGATACTTTACTACTGGTGTGCATTATTTTTCTTTCCATAATAGGGAAGGTGTAAGAAGGTAGATTTCCCATACTTATTTTGCTTACTTTTTATAAGGCTTTAACCTATCAAATCAATTCAGACAGTACAAAGTCAGGGGAAAGAAAAAGACATGGAGCTGGCCAAAAGGGAGGCCCAACAAGAAAAGCTGTGAAGTACAGGAACATCGATGCCTCCTGTGCGCCTTGAAGAGCAAGGATCTGTTGCATGTATTGGGGTGGGGAGAAGGCAAAGATTTGAGGCACAGTAGATCCTGAGGTTCAAAATGGAGGCATTATCCTACTGAGCAGAAATTAGGTAATTCATGGGCCAGGCTGCCTAGGTCAAGTACTTGCCAGTTGTATAACATTGGAAAAGTTGCTTAACCACTTCTATTTCAGTTTCTTCAGCTGTAAAATGGGTTAATAGTAGTATACACCTTACAGGGGTTTGCAGGGGACTACAGTCACATTAGTACATGTTCAGTGCCTACAGTAGTTTCTTGAGCATAGTAAGTTCATGTATTGGCTATCATTGTGGCCCTTCTCCATTGCATGGTCGTTATCTATTTGAAGGTCTTGCCCTGCTTTATTGTACCCACAAGAGGCAGAAACTGTACTTTATTCACTCTTATTTCCAAAACGTTGAAAAATCCATAGCATGTAGTTGGACCTTAATAAATTTGTGTTGAATTTGTTAATTAACAGACCAATGTTACTACAGTGATTTTTATCAATACGCATCCCAATCCCTTTAAGTGGGTACATTAAAATGTGTACTCATTAAAATTAGAAAAAGAAAAAACGACTTAATTCATCCCAGTAGGACTTGAGGCTTATTTTTATGGAGGTGAAGAAAACTTAAAAACACATACTGTGCATCAAGAAAAATAAAATGATAGAGAAGAAAGAGTGGGGGAATGTACAGAGCATTATCATTTTGTGCCAAGAATTGTAAAGCCAAATCTGGTCTTTCATACACACACTGTAGAAGATAAATAATTTCTCCAATAGTCCTTTATTTTTCTCAGCGTCACTAATTAACCTGACGACAGAGACTTAGCCAAACTGGCTTGCACAGTACAGAATTTGGATAAGGACTTGATGAGGGACATTGTTCTCATACAGCCAGCTGAGATTTTATCCTCAATGTGTTAAATAGTCTCTTCAGCCTTTATAATGCCGCTTCCTCTGACTCTCAGAGCTTATTTTCCAAAACACTGTGCCACTTGGACTTACTCTCCATTTAAAGTATTTTCAATGTTCATGCCAGATTTTTTTAAAGAAAATATGTTATTTAACTTTATGATTCTAAAAGCCATAAGGAGGAGATAATGTAATACACACAGTATTTTTACAGTATATTTTGTAAACCAAAGCTAGTTTATCTCTTATGTGACATAGTCTCTTTTTGTGGTGGTGGGAGTGGGAGGAGGATTTTAAATAATACTTTAACTGAATGCCAATAGGTGACAAACTTTGTTAGTTCACTTTGTTTAAAGCTGAACCTAGAAGAAAAACAACAAAAAGTCTCATTCACCTCCTGGGAGCTAATTAGTGGGGAACGTGCATGTTTAAAAAAGTCATCTCCAAGCACCACATGTACTTCATTTAAAATCATAATTTACCTCTCTCATTTGAATTTACCAGACAGTTCTAAAAATGTGCCAATCTGTAGTTGTTGGAAATTAGTACAGTTTAATATTTTCTTAACTTGGCTTTCAAATTCATTTTGCAAAAATCTCAGTCATTTGCTACCGTGATCGCAATAGAAAATGGCCGCTTTCTCTTTGCTTGCTACCATTTCCTCTGAGAAGATGAAATACAAAGACCTCAAACCATGGTACAGGTCTACTGTCATTTAGAACACATAACCACTCTTTACATTATTTCTGCCTTATGAATTAATCAATCTGTGTATTAAACAATACCAGATAACAAAGAGGTAATAAAGTCCCTGAACCTCAACTTTCACCCATTAAAATAGCCTTGACATAGATTCAACAGCACTTTGTTGATATTCTTATTAAACATGACTTGATCTCTAAAATGTACCAGTACTAAAGGTATCAATCCAAAGTTAAAAGTAGCCTTGAGTCTATTAATACAAAGTTTTTGTGACTATTACAGTATGCAATTTGCTAATAAGAAAAAACTCATTTGGTTGGCTCCACAGAAATTTCTAACTGGCTCACTTTCAAGGTGTGAAGTTTCAGAAATATAAATACCCTTTACAAGAAAAACATTTGATGATCGTGATATATTCAAGTCAGGGTATCCAGTGTCAAAGAATAAAAGAGCATGTGATGATTCCTGAAGTTCAGTGAATCATCGCACTAGTTTACACAAATGGAAAAATATCTCAAAACATTTGTAAAATAAAATCTAGACATTTCTAAAAGGTATTCTCATACAATGAGTATCATGAATATCATCAAATAACAAGCATAACTGGAAGGAAATAGCACTTTTTAAAAAAATTAACTTCATAACTAAGACCGAGGTCTTTCCCTAGGATATTTGACTCCTTTTGTTTTACTCCTAATATATTTTGCTTCAAACCTGCAACCCTTTTGCCTAGCAGGAGATGGTTTCAATAGCATTTCAAAATATGAATTTCCCTCGTCCAGGTTTTAAACCCCAGAGCAGTCTCTATTTCTGCATTTTTCAAAGAGAATGTTTGGGCAATGCCAAAGGTCTAAATGACTCCCTCTATATCGGAACTTACAGTCTCACATATTTGCCAGGAAGATGGCTGGAAATAATTAAGACCCTCAAGATCATTTTTCTGGGTACACTCAGACTTCTGCCACTCAACTTTTAATTATAAACTGACATCTAATAAAGCAGAATGTCAGAGAGCTACTGCAACTACACTTGCCTTGCAGTTTTACTGTGGACCCGGTTGTATCAAAAGCCTGCCTTGCCAATCATTTTTAATTAAATAAAAGGCAAGCCATCCCAGAGCAAGAATTACAAAGAAAGTCTGCTTTCCAGTGGAGCAGCTGTGTAAACGAGTTCTAAAATTAGTCCAGTCATTTCCAAGCTGTGTTTTACAGCTTCAATGTGTCTTCTGCAGCCCATGTCAGGATGAGAAAACGAATTTTCTCAAGAACATCCCAGTCATTTTAGGTTCAGTTCATTTTAATGGTGTCATAGCTAACTAACTCAAACCTCTCAGTCCTAAGCAGTCTGGGCACAGGGAGACATGATCAAAAGCTGCCATTCAAGAAGAGTGTTTGCTTTAATTTAGATGATGTTGACAGAGCCATGGGTACTGTGATAAAACCACCCAGCCTCTTGCCCAGGGGATATATAATCTAAACAAGACAAACAGTAATATAATGAACTTGGACTGACAGACAGTAGTGCTAGCTTCAGATTTCAGACTCCCTGGGAAATCTTCATTAGGACGGTAAGGAAGACGTCTTCAGTTCCTATTTCTAATTCTCTCTTTTTTTGCAGGCACCTCAGTGCCATTATGCCATTATCCCTTTACTACCGATAAAAATTAAAAAAAAAAAAAAGTGAAGTGATATTTAACCTTCTCCTAACCAAAACTGAGTTGCTGTCTTAGAAGATTAAGGGAAAAGGGAGATAGAGTGGGGAGAGAACAGGTGAGGGAGGACTGCAGCAGAGGAGAAGAGAGGAAGGAGAATGAAGTTGGCATTGCACAATAGAACACTATCAAGAACTTAATTTATATTTCTGAGAGCATTCAAATTATACATAACCACACATAAGTGATCGTTTTGCAGGAAGCACTTAGCTTTCTTATCTTTTATTAGTAATAATCTAATGTTGCTAATGCATATGACACTATGAGATTCCTAGATAGAAGTACCAGACCTTGCAGGATAAAAAATGACAAATTTTTTCTTTATAGAAACAGGTATTCTAAGGCTGGGAATCCAGATTATGAAGTTATAGCTGACCTGACAGACAGACAGAGAGAGAATCAAAAGTCACTAGGGCAGAGAGATAAGGTCATGTCAAAACCACACACTGGCCAGTAAAACATCTTTTTAAAAATGTGATGAAGAATTGTCTCTGAGAAAATGGTAAGGAATCTTCGATCCCCCTCTCCCTAGTGTATTGCATTGGCATAGTCCTAAATCCTACTGTAGCTTTAATTTTAAAGAGCATAATATAGTATTTGCTTCAATATTATATGAATATATAATTCATATAATATATTCATCCTGGATTCATACCAGAAACCTAGAACCCATTCACGGTAAGTTGCCAGACCACCTGCCTGGGCAGGAACTTTTCTTGTAGACCCAGAAGATCTAAACCATGCCTTACAAGGACCAGGAGACTATAAAGTGGCCCTTTTGACATGTCTGTGGTGATCCTTTGACATGTATTTTTAAGTGCTGCTTTATCTTACCACGTAATGAGCACCGCAAACACTAGGTGCTCTAAGTCACCTGAAAAAAGGTGAACAGAAATAGATCTACTGAAGCTTAAGCTTCAAGGCCTGTGATATGCACCACCCTGTGAAATCTTGGAGTTCTAGAATGTTCCAAGTGGGAGAGAAGACAAGTTACAGTCAGGGGTGTCTGGGAAGTTTCTCAAATAGATCTCAGAAGAAAGGGACTTGAATCCCCAAGTTTCCATTAATTTGTTGTGACTTTTTTCTTGTATTTGAAAAAAAAAACACTTTGATATTGAATGTATTCATAATGTCATGTTCTTTTTCTGAAAGAGGGCCCTCAACATTGCATAACATTTGGGGCCCACAAAACTTAGATCTGCCCTTCATGGTCATATTGGGCCCTTTCAATACATTTTTATCAGCCTGTCATCTGAGAAGCATGTAGCTGGGGTGTTGTTCTGGACTAATTATTACTAGTGCTCCTTTTCATTTTCAAAAGTGTTGGCAAACATGTTGGCCCATGCCTGTAATCCCAGTTCTTTGGGAGGCCAAGGTGGAGAATTGCTTGAAGCCAGGAGTTCAAGACCAGCCTGGACAATATGGCAAGACCTCATCTCTTAAAAAAAAATTAGCCAGGTATGATGGCAAACCTGTAGTCCCAGCTACATGGGAGGCTGGGGTGGCAGGATCGCTTGAGCCCAGAAGATCAAGGCTGCAGTGAGCTATGATCATGTCACTTCACTGCAGCCTGGGCAACAGAGAGAGACTGTCTCAAAAAAAGCGGGGCGGGGGCAGGGAAGTGTCTTGGTTTGAATGATAAATTATGTGCTCACTCTAGGTATAGCATAATCTGTAAGATCCCAAACTCTGGAGCAAACTATTGTATTTAAAACCAATAACAGTCACTTACTAGCTATATGGGAATAACTGAAAAATTTATTTAGCTTCTGTCATGGTTAATTTCATGTATCAACTTGACTGGGCCATGGGATGCCCAGATATCAACATTATCTCTGGGTGTGTCTGTGAGGATGTGTCCAGAAGAGATTAGCATTGGAATTACCAGACTGAGTAAAGCAATGACCCTCTCAATGTGGGCAGGCATCCCCCAATCTTTTGAATAGAACAAATATGTGGAGGAAGGTTGAGTTAACTCTGCCTGACTACTTGAGTTGGGACATTGATCTCCTGCCCTTGTTGCCCCTTATTCTCAGGCCTTCAGACCTGGATTGAGATCTACACCATCAACTCTGGCTCTTAGGCCCTCAAACTACACCATCACTTTCCTGAGTCTCCGGCTTGCAGACAGCAGGTTGTAGGACTTCTCAGCCTCCATAATCACATGAGCTAAAGCCTTATAATCTCTGTGTCTCTCTCTCTCTCTCTCTCTCTCTCTCTCTCTCTCTCTCTCTCTATATATATATATATATATATATATATATATATATATATATTTCCTGTTGATTATGTTTCTCTGGGGAATCTTGACTAATACAATTTTTTCTGCCTCAGTTTCCCCATCTGCAAAGTGGGGATAATAGTACATACCTCATAGGATGCCTTATATCAAATGAGTTCATGTATATAAAACACTTAGGGCAGTGCCTGGCACAGAAGAAACACTATATGCTAGGTTTTGTTCTTATTATCATCAATATCACTACTGATAATTCCTAACTTATATTTAATTCATTTCTCTCAATGTGTACTTGGAAAATCATTCCTTTTTGTGAAACTTATTTTTAATCATTGCTAAGAGTGGCAAACACACCTACAGAAAATCATTGTATACAAAGTAACTTTAGGAATTACCTAATCCATGTAATTGCTCCAGGAGTGATTTCATGGGATTAGGTAATTCCTAAAGTCATGGCTCAGAGAGAGTAGAATTGAACTCAAGATAAATAAGAACTTTCCCAAATTGAATACTTTCCACCTACAGTCTACATTGGGCTGGCTTGTGAAATGCTGAGCTCCTAAACACTGAAAGTATACAAGAAGTGACTGGCTGACCAACCACCAGGAGATGTGGTACCTGGATTCTCTAATAAATAGGTGGCTTTACTGATGATTTCAAAGATCATGGCCAATTCAAAGAATCTATGTTTCCACCGCTCTTAGGCAGGACCTTATATATTGGACAATTTCCTTCCTGTTACCACATACTCGGTTCTCCTCACTGCTGCATGTAACATTATGGGTTTATCACATTCTACCCTGAGGGACACTTAGCTTTTCAGTTCACCCCATCCTTGTGGGAGAAAATCTTCACAAGTGGAGATTCAAAATTCGCAATAATGCATAGAAAAATACCAAGATTCTCCAAACTTACAAATAACAGAGAAAAGTAGAAATGGTCAAGTCGTTCAAGAACTTTGTAGCAAGTGAAAGTTTTAAATATTTAATGTGCTTTGCAAGGTCTTTTTAGAAGAGATTAATATTATTCAAATGCAGTTTGTTTGTATTAAAGTATTTAAATGCTATGCATTTAGTATAAGATACATATTCTCACTTCTTCCCTGATGCAAAGTCACACTGGGAATTATGTGATCATGTGTAATTTGTTAAATGGAAATCACTTTTTAAATATTCATATACCAAATTTGCATTTTTTAAAATCGGAATTTTCAAAAGGGAGAGTGAGAGCATAGGAAGAGCAAGATCTAAAATACTTTCTACTGAAGACACCAAAGAAAAGAAAGTGATATGCATGATAGACAAATTTCTGCAACTATTGACAGGACAACCAGAGAAATTTGCACAGATATGAAAGATTAGGCTCACATTAACAGATGTATCAGAACCTTGAAGCCAAATAGGACCTTGCTAGCTGTCCTTGCCCCCTCATTTCATGAATGAGGAGATAAAGGTTGAAAGAAGCTAAATGGCCTGCAATTTGGAAGACCAAGAGGACACAGATACAGACAGATTATATGATGGATGTCCAAACAATTGACATGCCCTCATCCCTACATCTTTTCACTCCTCACTCAGTCCAGCACTTTCTGATGACTTGTTAAGTAGACTTGGTAGAATCCAAAAGCAGAAAATCAAAAATCAATAAGAACACTAGTTGCCTAATAGATGAATGATAATGCCCAGCGCTGGCTAGGATACCCTGAAATATATTCTTACATTGCTGGCAGCAGTTTGAATTAGTATAAATTTTTGGAAAGCAATTTGGCAATCCTCATCAAAAATCTTAAGTGTGTTTACACTTCAGACTTTCCAGTAATTCCAAATCTAAGTAAGTGCAAAGAAATAATACTAAAACTGAAAATACTAAAACTGAAAAAAAGTCTATGCATATAGAAGTTTATTACAGTATTACATATCATAGCAGCAAGTTGGAAATAGTTTAAATGTACAACAATGAAGGAATGGCTAAAGAAAGTGTGATTTATTCTCATTAGGATATCATATTGGAGTTAAAAATGACAGTTACATCAAGAATCTATGAACTTAAAAAGCTTATTAGTGTAATAAACAATGTTTTTAAGGGTGACCGCACCCACAATCTGGAATAACTACATAGCATCTACCTCATATTAACTTCAGCATAGATAATTAAAACAACCCAAAGCATAGCTGGTGGGAGTGTGATATCAACATCTAGTTTCTGCTCAGTAAGAAATTGATGAGAACCGTTAAGCCAATGGTGGTGAAACTTCACCTGTGAACAACCCATCACTCAGAGAGTTTCTCAAAATTCAGATCCCAATTGGTGGGTCTGGGAAAAGGTTCAAGAGTGGACATTCTTCAACAGACATTCTTGGTCCCCATGGGTCAAGAAAAAGGTCTTTTTCTCCTTCTAGATTTTTCTTCTGCAAGGCTTCACAGATTCTCGTGCTCTTACCCAGCAGACGAATTTGTAATTGAGGGAACACTTGCATTAGGGCTTGTACCTCTAACTGTGCTGTACAAATGTCTTGGCTCAAAGTTAAAAAGGCAGAGTTACAGGTAATTTTTCCTAATTTTATGTCATGTTTTATATTAATAAATTTAAAAATACATTTTCAAAAAATTTTGAAATCAGGTGTCTTATAGAACCATGCCTAGATCTAATTTTTTAAAAGTTTACTTAATAAATAAACTGCAGTGAAACTATATTTTTCAATTAACTCCCTGGAGGAATGCTGGAAGAGAGGAACAAATTAAAGAATGTTATGAGCTGGTATGCTTTTTCTTGAAGACTTAATATTAAGGTATTTGTTTATTAATGGAAAAGATCATATCTTTGCCCTCAGTTTTACATATTTCAAGTATAACATACAGGATAAGTTATTTTCTTCAGTGAAAATTGAGTAAACCTGACATCCTTTTCCAGCAGTATGATGGACTAAAAGTAGATACTGTGAATGACCCTCCCATTAAATATAACTAAATCATAGATTTAAAAACGTATCTTATAAAGCATTTTCAGGGTCAGGAGGTATTCTCAAGAACCAAGAAAGGGAAACAAAAATGGTGAAATGAGTTTTGCATGGTACCAGTAAGCAAACACAGATGGAGAAGCAAAGTCAGAGAAATGTCTTGGAATAAATGCCCACAGGTATCTGGAATCTTGCCCATGGCAAGATGAAGGAGCTGAATCTGATATTCCCATGTTAAGCACAAACACAGACTATACATGGCATCATTTGCAGTTGAGAAAAATGTAAACAAATGTAAAGATGCAATATTAAATCATAATGCATAAAATTAACTGTAGTATACACTGTACTACTGTAATAATTTCATAGACACCTCCTGTTGCTATTGTGGTAAGCTCAAGTGTTTTGAGTATCCGCTTAAAATGCCATGTAATGCTACTCATCACCACACGACCTGTGCTCTCTCCAGTAAATTGTGTATCACAATAAAAAGTGATCTCACAGTGTTAAAAAAAAAAAAAAAATCCAAGATTGGCAGTACCTCCTGGTTTTCAGCAGATGCAAACTCAAATTTCTCTCCAGAGAAATAATAAAATTTATGCCCTCAGTTCTTCCACAGAACAGTCAGTCATACATGAGCTCACAATCAAAACCCACCAAGCACACAAGAAAATAAACCTTCAGGAATAAGAATGAATAGATTTTTTCAGTCTCCAAAAGCTTCCAAAGTGGGAGATATCAGACACTAAATACAAAATACCTGCGTATAAAAATGCTTTAAAAATTAGTATAAAAAATGAGCACAGGACAAAAGACTATAAAAAATGACCAAGGAAATTTGAAAATAGAACTCTAAGTAATAAAAAACATACTTTTGAAATTAAAAGCTCAGTTGAGGAGCTATATAGTATATATGATACAGCTGAAACTAATGACTTATAATTGATCAATTGTCATTACAGAATGCAACTTGGAGATAGTGATGAAAAACATAAAAAGGACATAATGGACAGATTGAGATTACATAGAATATGTTTAGTTGGAATCCCTAAGAAAGACAATGAAGAGGATGTAGAAGTAATTTTTCAAGAAATAACAGTTGAGAGTTTTCCATAATTGATCAGAGACATTGTATAAGTTATCTTTTGCTGCATAAAAAAAAAGTCCTGGGAAGGAAGGTCTAAGATGCAAGAAGGAATGTTTAGCATAACAAGTGGAAACAGAAATCAAAATCCAAACCGATATTGTAGTAACAAAAACATGAAAATAAAGTCCAGCTTTAACAACAAAAATGAAAGAACTCTATAACAGACAATGTTTGCATGTGAACCAGTCAGGAAAAGAGTGACCACACTGTGAGTATTTTTAGATAACTGTATGCACGTGCATGTCTGTGTATGTGTGTGTTTTATTTTTGTCAGAGGCTTGACATACTAATAAACCTCAGACTTTGTTGGATTGTTAAACATGCATGGTAAGATTTCAAGAAAAAACATTAAAATAGTAGAATATACTATTTCCCCCTCAAACTCATGGAGGGGGAAAATTATAAAAGAAAAACAAACTAAGCAGTTTAAAAAGAGGTAGAAGGAAAAAATAGCATAGACAAAGTAGAAGCTATACACATATAAACTCTAAGATGGTTGAAAGAGTTTCAGGTATTATCAGTAATAAAATAATATAAATAAAATTAACTTGCTGGTTACAAAACAGAAGTTGTCTAATTGCGACAGAAAAATTAATCTATTAATATATCTTGTTAACAAGATACATACCTAAAAGATAAGGCTACAGAAAGATTGAAATAAAAGTATGGAATAAGATATGTCATGTAAGTACTAACCAAGAGAAAGCTGAGGTAGCTATATTAATTCAGTAAAAAAAGAGAGAGAGACTTTAAGACAAAGCATTTACAGCAAATTATCTTCTAGACAGACAAAGCCTCACCTAAGGAAAAATTGCTGGAATAAAATTAACAAATTTGGTAGGCAGGACACTAGTGATAATGTAGAAAGAAGTTTCAAACACACAGTGAGGGAGAATTCAGAGGAAGCAGAACCCGAGAAGTACTACAACAGCAAAAATACTACATGTAAAGGTAAGAGCACTTACTTTGAAGACAAGATGTCTACAGCGCTAGGAAAAACAGGGCTGGAAATGGAAAAACTTCTTCTTTCAAAACTAGGGTTTGCCCTGAGACTGGGAAATATTAACAGAGAAACCAAGTATTAAGTGTCTCACATTAACAACACAAGAAGGAGTCTTTAATCTCTGAAGGGATGAAAGCTACTTTGGGCAATTTCTACCTCCTCCTCAGAAATCTTCTCCTCATAGCCCAAGAAAACCCATCTCACTTAAACACGATGGGGGGAAAAAGGAATATATTCTATAATTTCGAGCAAAATCATTGCCAAAAAAACAGAAAAATAAACTTCAAAATATCTTAACAGACAATAAGAACAAACCAGAAAAATGTAATATTTGAAAATGAGCTAAAAGAAATAAAAAAAATAGTTTTGGAAAAATGTCACAAGTCAGAAATGAGATGATAAATAAATGGTAAAACGAGGTGAATAAGATTTAAAATTTGTCAGAACTCAGAAAGAATTGGAAAATAAATAAACGAAAGGAACAGAAGAAAATAGATCCCCTAAAAATTCAGGGAGCAAAATATGCAATAAAAAGGAAAATGTAAAATAAAACAAACAGAATTAGAAAAAGCAATTTTAAAAGAACCTGTGAAAAAGAAAATATAGGCAAAAACATATTCCAATATGCATATAATTTGAGTTCCAAAAACTAAATGAAACTAAAAAAATAAAAAATAAAAAAAGATGAACAGAAAAACATTTAACAATTCAAGAAAACTTGCCTGAAATAAAAAAAGACTCAAATCTTCATTTAAAAAAAGCCATACAGTATACCTAGAAAAATTATCCCACAATAGTTATCACCAAGATATACACTAGTAAAACTACTGGACTTTAAAGAAAAGGAAAAAAGTCATTTGGGTATTAAACAAAAAGACCAGGTTACATACCAGGGTCATATAATCAAATTGACATCAGACTTTTCAACAGCAACATTTCGTGGTAGAAAACTATGGAACATTTTAAAATATACTCTGGGAAAGGAAAATATAAGGCAAAGATTTTATATATACCTATGATAAATTCTTCAGCCAAACAGTGGTAAGTATGCAAAAATTTAGGGATATTAATTCCATTAGCCCTTCTTGAGTATTCTACTAGAAAATGAGCTTCAGACAAATAAGAAATTATTGCAAAAGCTTTGGTATAAATAATGGACTAAGCATAGAATATATTTAACAACATAACTAAAATTAAAGATGAGGATAGTATGAAAATGTTATATACTCTGATAATGTAAAAATGATACAGCTAACAAAGCTAGCAGGAAAGGGAAAGAGTCAATAGAAAGCAGAATAAGATTACTGACCATTTTGTAAGTATTGGAGCTGACAAATCAATATACTAAGAACTTACATATAATTAAGTGTTAACACCAAGACAACTCCATAGTGAGTAAACCTGATAGTGGAAAAAAGGCAGGTGGAGGAAGAAAAGGCAGGTGGAGGAAGAAACTGTAAGCAGAGAATTGCAGTATTGCTCATGTTCAGTAACAATACTCAGTATATAAATGAAGATGGTACTATAAACATATTTCTATAAAAGTCACCACTATTACTTACAAAAATAGAAAAGTTTGCAACAATATACTTAAATAAATATGAGGAGGAGACGGAAAGAAAGGGAGAAAGAGAGAGCAAAAAAGACAGCAGACCACATACTACAAGATCTTGTGTAATTGAAGTTTTTTTAAAAGCATATATAGCCACTATGCTGTATGCTACTTTTTCATTTATATAGTGTGTTCTTTTTCACATAAAAGACATATAAATTTGTGCACATATTTATTTGTATTTTTAAACAAACATTAGAAGAATAAATCAAAAAACAATTTTTAACTGTTACTTATAAAAATGGAGAAGGAACACAGTTGAGGGAACAAAGATGGAAACAATACCAGAATAAATACTTGAATACATAGTTCCCACTTTGGAATCACGTAAATTATATGATTTTGTATAAAAGTGAAATAAAAAATTTAAAGTCTCCGAGATTGAAACACAGAGTGAAAAGATGAACCTAGCTGTATAATAAGATGGTAGCATAACCAAACAGAGAACACAATTCTTTCTAGTGACTTTAATACATAGTCATTGGAAGGTACCTCCATTATAAAATATATTCTGATAGAGAGAGATACAAACAAATTTTAAACTTTATTCAGTAGGCATCATGTTAGTAGTAATATTGACATTAATTGACATTAATATTTAGAAAGTATTTTATTTATATTTTAGATTAAATTTTTGTCAGTGGTTTTAGGAACCAATGTTTCATGTCCAAGAGAAGACATACACACATACACCAAAATAAGAAAAAAAGTTCAAGGTTAAATTTGAATTGTAAACAGTATGAATTCATATTTTTTTCTTTTTTAAAATACCTCTTTCCTAGTTCTGCCCACCAAAAAGAACTAGAAGCCAAGATAATTCCCAATGTCTAGATTACCATCATCAAGTATTATTCCCATCAACAGGAATGATAACTTCTTAGAGGAAAGTCTTATTAAAGGTCTGGGGTAGGAAATGTATAAGCTACCCAAGACTAATAATGTCATGTCCATGGTAACCCCAAAGAACATGAGTCATCATGAAGAGACTCCCACTGGACACTAGAAAAAATTATGATAGCAACAGATTGAAACATGTTAAACGTATAGAAGTTCATGTGCTCATTTAAAAGAGAATTAAAAATGAAGAAAAAATTAGAAACAGCATCCTATTGGTCATTTTAGGAGAGAACAAGGGCACCAAATCTATACTCAGAAAATTACCAAGAAGAAAGAATTAAGTTTTTTTCTCCATTTCCTGTACAAACCATATTTTAGTTCCACAGAAGGAAGTGTAGAAAAAATGATTTAAAAAATTCCCCCTTTTGACATTTCAAATGAAATAATTGATTCAAACCAAAATCATCAATGGATGAAAGCATTAGGTAAAACAGTAAGGAGAGGAATCTGGCTGTTACCACCTCAAACCACCAATCAACCTTAGCATCAACTAGGAAGTAAACTTGCTTTTCAAAAAAATGACCTAAACTTAGTAAAGCCTTTAGAATAAATTCTTCTTACCATACCAAATGTATGGAGAATGAAAGAACAAGTTAAATGACACCATAGGGGACAAATAGATGAATAGATGAATATAGCACAGGTGTACTATAGAATGGGCCACATTTGGAGGATGTGGGGAAAAATAAGAAACAGTTCTATATATTTGCAAACTACGCATCTGACAAAGGTCTAATATCCAGTATCTATAAGGAACTTAAACAAATTTGTAAGAAACAAACAACCCCATTAAAAATTGGGCAAAGGGCATGACAGACACTTTTCAAAAGACATACATGCAGCCAACAAAAGGGAATTAAACAGTGAGAACACATTGACACAGGGAGGGGAGCATCACACACTGGGGCCTGTTCGGGGGTCGGGGGCTAGGGGAGGGTTAGCATTAGGAGAAATACCTAATGTAGATGATGGGTTGATGGGTGCAGCAAACCATCAGCAGACCAAAGGACAGACACTTTTCAAAAGACATACATGCAGCCAACAAGCACATGAAAAATTGCCCATCATCACTAATCATTAGAGAAATGCTAATCAAAACAACAATGAGATACTATCTCACACCAATCAGAATGGCTACTTTTTAAATGTCAAAAATAACAGATACTGGCAAGGTTGCAGAGAAAAGGGAACACTTATCCACTGTTGGTGGCAGTGTAAATTAGTTCAACCATTGTGGAAAGCAGTGTGGTGATTCCTCAAAAAGCTAAAAACAGAATTACCATTTGACCCAGCAATCCCGTTACTGGGTATATACCCAAAGGAATATAAGTCATTCTACCATAAAGACACATGCATGCCTATGTTCAGTGTAGCACTATTCACAATAGCAAAAACATAGAATCAACCTAAATGACCATCAATGGTAGACTGGATAAAGAAAATATGGTATATACCCAAAGGATTATAAATCATTCGACTATAAAGACACATGGTTTATTGCGACACTGTTCACAATAGCAAAGACTTGGAACCAACCCAAATTCCCATCAATGATAGACTGGATAAAGAAAATGTGGCACATATACAACATGGAATACTATGCAGCCATAAAAAAGGATGAGTTCATGTCCTTTGCAGGGCATCCTTTGCAGGGATGAAGCTGGAAAACATCATTCTCAGAAAAATAGCACAGGAACAGAAAACCAAACACCACATGTTCTCACTCATAAGTGGGAGTTGAACAGTGAGAACACATGGACACAGAGAGGGGAACATCACACACTGGGGCCTGTTGGGGGTGAAGGGCTAAGGGAGAGATAGCATTAGGAGAAATACCTAATGTAGATGATGGGTTGATGGGTGCAGCAAACCACCATGGCATGTGTATAGCTATGTAACAAACCTGCACATTCTACACATGTACCCCAGAACGTAAAGTATAATAATACAGAAGTTTAATAATAAAAAATAAAGAAAATGTGGTATATATACACCACAGAATACTATGTAGCCATAAAAAAGAATAAGATCATGTCCATGGATGGAGCAGTAGGCCATCATCCTTAGCAACTAACACAGGAACAGAGAAAAAAATCTACATGTTATCACCTATAACTGGGAGCTAAATGATGAGAACACATGGCAACAGACACTGGGGCCTACTTGAAGATGGAAGGTGGGAGGAGGGAGAGGATCAGAAAAAAATAACTATTGGGTACTAGGCTTAATACCTGGGTGACAAAAGAATCTGTACAACAAACTCCTGCGATATAAGTTTACCTATATAACAAATCTTCACATGTACCCCTAAACCTAAAATAAAAGTTTTTCTAAAAAAGAAGCTTAACAAGGGCTGGGCACAGTGGCTCATGCCTGTAATCCCAGCACTTTGGGAGGCTGAGGCGGGTGGATCATGAGGTCAGGAGATCCAGATCATCCTGGCTAACACAGTGAAATCCTGTCTCTACTAAAAATACAAAAAATTAGCTGGGCGTGGTGGTGGGTGCCTATAGTCCCAGCTACTCGGGAGGCCAAGGCAGGAGAATGGCATGAACCTGGGAGGCAGAGCTTGCAGTGAGTCAAGATAGCGCCACTGCACTCCAGCCTGAGCAACAGAGGGAGACTCCGTCTCTAAAAAAAAAAAAAAAAAAAAAAAAAGAAAATAGCTTAACAACTATATTAACTATAAGGAATATGTAGGCCCTGTTTGAATCCTGATTAGAATTAACCAACTGGTTGTGCATTTTTTTTCTAAACAAGGTCTTACTTTGTCACCCAGTGCAATGACTCAATCATAACTCACTGCAATCTCAAACTCCTGGGCTCAAGTGATCCACCCACCCCAGCCTCTCCATTAGCATGACAGATCAGTATAATAGATTTCCATATAGAAAGAAAAAAATGTGAGCCAAATTTCATATACTTCATATCACAGAGGAAAAAATCAATTCTGAATGGTTTTAAGACTTAAATGTGAAAGGCAACATAACATTTTTAGAATAAATATAGATATCTTTATGATATCAGTATACAGAATAATTTCTTACAAAATCTTTTACAAAAAGATACAAAATAGCTCTAACCATAAAAGATAAATTCAGTTGCGGTAAGATTAAGAACTTTAATTCACCGAAAGATGTCATAAAGAAAGTGAAAAGATAAGCCACTAATGGGAGAAGACATTACAGCACCCATAAATGGCAAATAATTAGCATTTTTAAAGCACAACAAATTAAAGGCAAAAAATCCAATATTTACAAAAACACACACAAAAGAAATAAACAGGAGTTTCCAAGAAGTAAATATAAATGGTCCATAGATTTTTTTAAGTATGCCCTAATGTAAGTAAATGAGAGAATAAAAATTAAGAGCCACAAGTTATCAGTTTATACTTAATTTTTTTAACGAAGAAGTCTATCAGTTTTAGTGTTTGCTAGAAAGAAGGGCCACAAGACTCTTACACTCTTACAACATGAACAAATCTTAGAAGCATAATATTGAGTAGAAAAGACACTTTGGAAAGGTTACATTCAATTTGATGCTATTTTGTATAATGCTCAGAAAAGCAATGCTGAACAATATAATGCTTAGGAATACACATGTTTTTCACATTTAAAAAGAAAAATCAAGGAAATGAAAAACGACATTCAAGGAAGTGTCTACCATATTCTGGGTGGCAGAGAATGAGATGAATAAGTGCACACAGGAAATTTCGATATCACTGGTAAAGTTCTCACTCTTAGGGAGTGGATTCATAAATGTTCACCCTAGTACTGTGCTTTATAGTGTACTTTTTGATGCATATCTTACAAACTTTCCTTTACAAGTTTTTGAAGCACCAAGATATCATCACCTCACACCCGCTATCTATAAATAAACACTACTAAATCTAGCCAAATATATAAAATTAAATAAGCCTCATGAATGATCAGCCTTCACAAACGGATCACTAATGTATATTTGAGGGCTTCTTTCGCCAATGTGAATACTACAAGGATCTAAAAGAAAGTCTGCACTGATAATAACAGTACATCAGTAAGCACTCACTGCCTGGGAAAATATGTGTGTATGTATTTGGCAGGTAAATCAAAGTTGAAGGAATAGAGTTCTTAGAGAAATTAAAGAAATTCTTTAATCTCTTGTGGAATAAGAAGAGTTCTTTTTTTAGAATTAAAATTGGCCTGATACTTGGAAAGCCAAGCCAATTGCTAAAGTATTTGGTTTTAAACCATGCCTCAAATGTTGTAGAAATGGAAGGAAGCCTGAAGTAATGAAAGTTCTTGCTTTTGGGTTAAGACAAGTACCAATGCTCTCCAAATATGTCTTAGTAATTAGTGGCTGGCATGACTCCCTTCAAGTCTGTTGCTTACCATCTGTGACGTCTTTTGTTAATCTCTAACTCCTTATTAAGAAAGATGACTATTCAACTAAATGATATTTTGAGCTATTGATTACTGAATCAAGCCCCAGTACTATAAAAAGGGGCCATAGTTCTTAGTCTGTGGCTTCTGTGAAGAAAGGGGCTAGAGAGATATATGAAAGAGAAGATGGTCCACTTGGCAGTGAAAAAATACAACTGGGTCTTGTCTTTCATATTTGACTTCTGGAAAAAATGCATTTGTAGATGATACATAGACCCCCTCAAAACTGCCTTTATATGCACATTTTCATGCCTCACTTGAGTAATAAACATGTAAATCTATCACACAATGGCACTGCCTGCTCACAGCCCATTTCGTTTTGGCAGTCACCATCTTTATATAGCAATTTGTGCAATTATGTGAATACTTTTACTGCATTTTGTCTTGATTGGTTTATAAGATGAGTGGAAAATGTAAAAATGAAAGTGCAAATACTAGTTTGAATAGGTAATTAGATTAGAAGCACAATTCTCATAAAGTTAATGTAATTGGTACAAAGTTGGAAACCACTAGGTGTGCTGGAAACAGTGAATCTTTGGGCTCAGCTGGAAGCTCACTGGACTGAAGCCAGCTGCCTGTGCCTTCAACTGTGAAGGCAAATAAGAAAATTAAAGAACATGCATGAAAATGCTGGCACTGAATAATGAAAGATAATGTCAACAAGGCAAAGTGAAATTAGAGATTTTATGTATTTTATCTCTATTATAAAACAGTGGCAGTAGTAAGGGTTGTAATAGTACCTACCATTACCTGCCAGGTTCTAGGTTGTCTTTTATTTTTCTCCATGGCTGAGTTCTCTCTCTTTTCTTTTCTTCTGCTTGACCTCTCAATGCTGGAGGCCAGACATAAGCCCTTTTTTCTTCTTCCTCTACACCTTCTCCCTGCATGATCACATCCATTCCTAAGGCTTTAAATGCCATCTACATACCAATGATTCTCAAATGTCTGTCTTTGGTCCTGATATCTTCACTGAGAGTCAAATCCTGTATCCAACTGCCTACTTGGTATTTTCACACAGCTATTTAATGTCTAATAGACATCTCACACTTATGACTAAAACAGAACTCTCAATTTCTGTATACTGTACCCATAGTATATGTGGGGTCCCCCTAAAAAGTCTGTCTTCTTCATCTTAATAACTAGTACCCAACCAGTTGTTGCTCAACCAAAATATTGGAGTTACCACTGATTCATCCCTTTCCATCTTTTCTTACATTAAATCCATGAGCAATCCTTTAGATTCTCACATCTAAAACAATATTTAAACTTATCTTCTTACCTTGGTCTCCACTACAACCACCCCGATACAAGACACCATCCTCTCTAGAATTAGATTATTACCGTGGGCTTTTAACTGGTCTCCCTGCTTTCATTCTTATTCTTCTCTGATACAAAATAAGACTATGACTAATACCCAAACTGTCATGTGAAACTTCTGTGAGTTTTCAGGGACAAGACAAAATAATAAATAGTAAGGACTTGACCATAAAATGTAAGACCTGAAGTGCTCATGTTCACACAATCGCAGCAAGAAGTGTGTTGGGGTGCCAGAATATCTCCTTCCCTTTCCTTTCACAGATTTCTGGGTTGTTTGACACCTTTTTCAGGTATATTCTTTTTCTCTCCAGGTTATCCTCAGCTTTAATTTTAATAATACTTCACCAAAACAGAAATGTGAGAGGAAATGGGTAGAAAGGGGATATTAGTAAGCAGGAATGTGTTCTGAATTTTTCCGAACCCTTCCCCCAGCCAAGGACAGCCAGAACCACAGATAAACTGTCCTCAAAATGACCAGTGATGCAAGCCAGAAAGGTGTGACATTTTCTTCAGGCTCCATAAGGCAGAACTTGGGTCAAAGTAGTATTAAGGCATCCTCTCCAAACAGGATACATCCATTTAGCCGAAGAGCAAAAGAAAATCATCTCAAATGATATCACACTGCTGGTAGAAACATCCCAACCATCTCCCCACCCTAGTGGTGTTAACAAATGTTGTGAATAAAAAAGATCACAAATCACCAGCCACATTCCTCCTGGTTAGTTAGTAATGGTGAGCCATTACAAACCCTGAGTAGCAGAGCATAGGGTTCTTAGGCATTGAAGAGCTCACACAGCCCTCCAAAGCCATTGTAAAATCAGAATGGAAGGCACTTGGTGTCTAAGGAGAGACTGGGATCCAAGATCATGAGGAAGGTGGTCTGTGGCAGTATCATCAGAGACGGAAAGAAAGGAGGCTTGACTGGAGGAAGGGTCACTCACAGTTAGCTACTGTCCAGCTCCCTTATCAACTTCTGTCCTCCTTCTGAAGTAGTTTACTTCCAGCCCTCCCTTGACAAGCACCCAACTTTCCCTCACCTCTTCTCAATCAGTGTCTTCTGCCTGGCTGCACTAGGAGGGAGAATTGGAAAATGCTGTTTTACACTGATAACCTGATGCTACTGCCATCCAGAGACAACCCATTCAATTGAAAGAAGATTTTAGTGATTTTAGGCATCAAGGAATAAATGGAAGGTAAATTCCTCTGCTAAAGCAGCATCCTTAAACTTCTATGAACATAATCCCCTTCCTTTTTTTCGTTCCATCTGGAGATGATTGGACAGGGAAAGGAGAGATGGAACTAGAAGCTATAATATGGACAACTCAAATAAGAAATGAATCTATGAAAGCTTCCAGGCAAGCATGTGCTCTGAATGCCTGGAGTTCTGCCTGTGGGTGGAGTAGAGACAGCCCCACTGCACCGCAACCTCAGGGAAACAGGCCCTTTTCTTTATCTGCTCAGCTGTTGATGGACACTTACGTTGCTTCCAAATCTTGGATATTGTGAATAGTGCTGCAATAAACTGATTCCTTCTTTTGAGTGTATACCTAACAGTGGGATTGCTGGGTCATATGGCAGTTCTATTTTTAGTTTTTTTGGGGAAACTTCATACTGTTCTCCATAGTGGCTGTACTAATTTACATTCCTACTGTATTTGTCCATTCTCACATTGCTATAAAGACATACTTAAGACTGGGTAATTTATAAAGAAAAGAGTTTTAATTGGCTTATGGTTCTTTCAGCTGTACAGGAAACATGATGCTGGCATCTTCTTGGCTCTGGGGAGGCCTCTAGAAACTTACAGTCATGATGGAAGGCAAAGGGGCAGTGAGGTGTCTCACATGGTGGGATTGGGAGCAAGAAACTATGAGGGGGAGGTGCTGCACATGTTTAAACAACCAGATCTCATAAGAATTCACTCATTATCAGAAGAACTGCATAAAGAGAATAGTGCTAAACCATTCATTAGAAATCCACCCCCATGATCTAATCACCTCCCACCAGGCCTCATCTCCAACACTGGGGACTACAACTACACATGAGATTTGGTGGGGACACAGATCCAAATCATATTACCCACAAACAGCGTACAAGGTTCCCTTTTCTCCACATCTTTGTTAGCATTTGTATTGCATGTCTTTTGTATAAAAGCCGTTTTAACTAGGGTGAGATGATATTTCATTGTAGTTTTAATTTGATTTTCTCTGATGATCAATGATGTTGAGCACATTTTCATATACCTGTTTGCCATTTATATGTCTTCATTTTAAGAAATGTCTATTTATATCTTTTGCCCATTTTAAATTGGATTATTTAAATTTTTTCCTATAGAGTGGAGTTCCTTATATATTCTGGTTATTAATTCCTTGTCAGAGAGATACTTTGCAAATATTTTCTCCCATTCTGTGGGTGTCTCTTCACCTTGTTGATTGTATCTTTTTGCTGTGCAGAAGCTTTTTAATTTGATGTGATCCCATTTGTCCATTTTTGCTTTGGTTGCTTGTGTCTTTGGGGTATTTACTCAAGAAATATTTGCTCATACCAATGTCCTAGGGAGTTTCTCCCAATGTTTTCTTTTAGTAGTTTCATAGTTTGAGGTCTTAAAGTCTTCCATGTACTTATTGTTGGAATTATGCTCTCCCCTGTCACCGGCCCAGGGCAGGAGGAGAGCTGCTACTGCAGCACCTTCTCCTGGATGGTGAGACTTGCAGTCAGGGCCAGCTTGGTGACCTGAAACCAGTCTCCCTATGTTATTGCTGGGTGCTTCAGCCTGTTACCCTGAGGTTGCGGTGCAGTGGGGCTGACTCTACTCCACCCACAGGCAGAACTCCAGGCATTCAGAGCACATGCTTGCCTGGACTAGCAGCCTGAGTTGCCCCATGCTTCCTGGGTATAGATCATGATACAATAGGGCCTTCTCTGCCACATCCCCAGGCATATGTCTAGGCATTCAGAGTACCCACTCACCTAGACCAGCAGGCTGTGCCACCCTATCCTTCCTGTGCATAGACTGTTGTGCAGTAGGGCCTCCTCAGATACCACCCAGGTAGATCTCTAGGCAGCCAGAACACCCATTCACCCAGATCAGCAGCCTAAGCTGCCCTACCCTTCTTGTGCAGAGATTGTGGTGAAGCAGGGTCCTCTCCAGACCATGCCCATATGTATCTCCAAGCAGTTAGAGAACCTGTATGCATAGATTACCAGCCTGAGCCTCCCTACCTTTCCTGTGCAGAGATTATGGTGAAGCGGGGTCCTCTATACTACAGGCATCTGGAGCACACACTCTCTCCTGAATTGGGAATTTAGACCACCACCCTGCCCCTGCAGAGAACTAGGGGCTGAGGAGGTTTCCCAGCACCATGCCTAGGCATACCTTTGGGTGCTTGGTGGCTGTCCATTGGATTCTCCCTCAGTTCTGGTGCTGGTGCCTGCCATCAGGGAACCTGTAAGTGGATCTGCAAGGTTTGGACCTTCCCATTTTGTACACCCACTGCCACCCCCCACCCCCCACCCCCCAGGGATGAACAGAGAGCTCAGACCACTGTGGACTTCAGAGAGTAGTCCATTGCCTGAGGCAAGAGAAAGCTTTTCCCCATAAGCAAGGATCAAGTATATACCCAGCCACATTAGCCACAGCTGGCTATTACTCATAAGCATCACCTATTGGCTTGTAGGTTAAACTGCATCACTCAATATAAAACCTGCCAAAAGACGTGCATACGGCCATAGAAACAAAGCCAAAAGACCCTACCTAGCATTCTCTATAGTCACACCCCCTAAGGACTGGGGATATGGAGGGAAATGGAAATTTAAAAACCAATAATATTATAAGGAAAAAAAGAAAAAGAAAAAAATCCTGCCTGCATGAAAGTAATTACAAAAATTAGAAGTACTGGCATCTTCAGATAAGAAGAAACAGAAAAATCTGAATGTAGTGACACTACTAAAGGATCATACCAGCTCTCCAGCAATGGTCTATAACCAAAATGGAAACTCAGAAATGACAGAGAGAATTCAAAGCATGGATTGCAAGGAAGTTCAATGAGATCCAAGATAAGGTGGAAAATCAACACAGAGAAACTTCTAAATTAATCCAGGAAATGAAGGAACAAATAAACATCTTAAAAAGAAATCAGTCAATCATCTGGAATTGAAGATCTCACTTATGGAATTTCAAAATACAACTGAAAGCTTTATCAATAGACTAGACCAAGCAGAAGAAAGAACTGTGGAGCTTGAAGACTGGTCTTTTGAATCAGATAAAAATAAAGAAAAAAGAATCTTTAAAAATCAACAAAGTCTTTAAGAAATATGGGATTACATAAAGTGACCAAACCTGTGAGTGATTGGTATTCCTGAGAGAGAAGGAGAAAAAATAAACAACCTGGAAAACATATTTAAGGAAATAATTCAAGAAAATTTTCCTAATCTTGCTAGAGACATAGGCATCCAGATATAAGAAATCCAGAGGACACCCGTGAGATAGTATACAAAATGAACATCACCAAGGCATATAGACACCAGACTATCCAAGCTCAACACTAAACAGAAATCTTAAAGGCAGCTAAAGGAAAAGGTCAGATCATTTACAAAGGGAACCCCATCCGTCTAACAGTGGACTTCTCAGCAGAAATCTTGTAAGCCAGGAGAAAATGGAGGCCTATTTTTAGAATTCTTAGAGAAAATAAATTCCAACCATGAATTTCCTATTTCATCAAACTAAGCTTCATAAAGCAAAGGAGAAATATCATTTCCAGATATTTAAGAGCTTGAGAATTCGTTACCATAAAACCAGCCCTCCAAGAGATCTATAAGAGAGTTATAAACATGGAAGCAAAAGAACAATATCTGCTACCACAAAAACACTCTTAGGTACATATCCCACAGACCCCATAAAGCAACCATACAATAAAAACTACAAAGCAAAGAGCTAACAACTTCATGATACAATCAAAACCTCAGCAAGTTAATATTAGCCATGCATGTAAATGGTCTAAATGTCCCGCTTAAAAGGCACAGACTTGCTAGTTGGATTAAAAAAAATAAAAGATTCATCCATCTGCTGTCTTTAAGAGATGAGTCTCACACATAACACCCACAGGCTCCAAGTAAAGGCTGAAGAAAAATCTATCATTCAAATGGAAAACAAAAAAGAACAGGGGTTAGTATTCCTACATCAGATGAAACACACTTTAAATGAGCAACAGTAAAAAAGAACAAAGAAGGGCATTACATAATGATAAAGTGTTTAATTCAACAAGAAGACTTAACTATTCTAAATATATACGCACCTAATATTGGAGCACCCAGGTTCATAAAACAGTGACTTCTAGATCTATAAAAAGATTCAGCCAGCCACACGATACCCCACTGACAGCATTAGATCACTGAGGCAAAAAGCTAACGAGGAAATTTTAGACTTAATTTTAATACCTGACCAATTTGACCTAATAGAAATCTACAAAACACTTTACCCATCAACCACAGAATATACATTCTTCCCATCTGCTCACGGAACATAACTCCAAGATTGACCACTTGCTCAGCCATAAAGCAAGTCTCAATAAATTTAAAAAAATTGAAATCATACCAAGAATACTCTTAAACTATAGCAGAACAAAAATAGAAATCAATACCAGGAAGGTCTCCCCAAACCACATAATTACATGAAAATTAAACAACTTGCTCCTGAATGACTTTTGGGTAAACAACAAAACTAAGGCAGAAATCAAAAAATTCTTTGAACTTAATGAAAACAGAGACACAAGATACCAAAATCTTTGCAATGCAGCAAAAGCAGTGTTAAGAGGAAAGTTTATAGCACTAAATGCCTACCTCAAAGAGTTAGAAAGACCTAAAATGCATGATCTAACATCACACCTAGAACTAGAAAAACAGAAAAAAATTAACCTCAAAACCAGCAGGAAAAAAAAAGAAATAACTAAAATCAGAGCAGAACAGAATGAAATTGAGAGCCAAAGTCCACACAAGTATCAGTGAAACAAAAAGTGGCTTTTTGAAAGGATAAACAAGATCAATAGGCTGCTAGCTAGATTAACAAAGAAAAAAAAAGATCCAAATAAGCACAATCAGAAACAACAAAGATGACATTACAATGGATCCCATAGAAATACAAAAGATCCTCAGAGACTATTACGATCAGCTCTGTGCACACAAACTAGCAAATCTAGAAATTTTCTAAAAACTTTTCTAGAAATCTAGAAATGGATACATTCCTGGAAACACACAACCACTCAAGATTGGATCAGGAAGAAACAGAAACCCTGAAGAGACCAATATCAAGTTCTGAAATTGAATCCATCATTTAAAAAACCTACCAATCAAAAAGAGCCCCAGACCAGATGGATGAATAGCCTAATTCTACCAGATGTACAAAGAACTGGTACCAATTCTACTGAAACTATTCCAAAAAAATTGAGGAGGAGTGACTCCCCACTAATACATTCTACAAAGCTACCTTCTAGTATTAGAGCTAGCATCACTCTAATACCAAAATATGGCAAAGGTACAACAAAACAAGAAAGTCACAGTCCAATATCCCTGATGAACATAGACAAAAAAAATCCTCAACAAAATAACTAGGAAACTGAATCCAGCAGCATATCAAAAAGTTAATTCATCATGATCAATAGGCTTCATTCCTAGGATACAAGGTTCATTCAACACGTGCAAATCAAAAAATGGGATTCACCACATAAACAGCATTAAAAACAAAAATTATTATCTCAATAGATGCAGAAAAAGCCTTTAATAAAATCCAACAATCCATTATGAGAAAACCCTCAGCAAATCAGGCATCAAAGGAACATACCTCAAAATAATAAGAGCCCTCTATGACAAACTGACAGCCAATATCACACTGAATGGGCAAAAACTGAGAGCATTCCCCTAAGAACTGGAATAAGACAAGATGCCAACTCTCACTTCTGTTTGACATAGTACTGGAAGTCCTAGCCAGACCAATCAGGCAAGAGAAAGAAATAAAAGTCATTTGTTGGGGTGATCAGACCCAACACCAGGTCATGGGGGTGATGAAGTCCGGCAGAGTCAAAGGAATGAGAAAAGACAGTTTGAGAGAGAAAGTGGGTCCAGGGGGCCAATGCAAGTATGGAGGCTGCAAAGGCTCTGAGCTCTGGAAGCCCAGACTATTTATTGGTGAGCAAACAAAGAAACAGGTGGTGAGAATGTGGGGATCAAAAGTGCAAGCGCATGATCTACAGCTGTGATGGTTTAGCATTTCCTTTGAAGCAAATGGAACATATTCTGCTACTTGAGATAATGGGGAGCATGTTCTTCTAGTTTAAGCTAGAAGCAAGGAGCCAGCAAGTCTGGACTCATTCCAGAGGCCACGAGGGGTTTTATGCCCTGAGCCCTGGACATTATGTCAAACATGCAAGCCCTGCCTCAGCTTTTTTCCCAACACTCAGCTTTTTCCCAGCAGTTATTCATATAGGAAAACTAAGAAGTCAAATTATTTCTCTTCACTGATATGATTCTATACCTAGAAAACCCTAAAGACCCATCCAAAAGGCTCTTGGAAGTAATAAATGACTTCAGTAAAGGTTCAGGATACAAAATTAATGTACAAAAATTAATAGCATTTCTATACATTAATAATGTCCAAGCAGAGAGCCAAACCAAGAATATATTCCCATTTACAACAGTCACAAAAGAAAAGACCTAGGAATACACCTAAATAAGGTGTAAGATCTCTGCAAGGAGAACTGCAAAATACTGCTGAAAGAAGTCAGAGATGATACAAACAAATGGAAAAATATTCCATGCTCATGGATTGGAAGAATCAGTATCATTAAAATGGCCATACTGCCCAAAGCAATCAACAGATTCATTGCTATTCCTATCAAATTACCAATGTCTTTTTTTATAGAATTAGAAAAAAACTATTCTAAAATTCATATGGAACCAAAAAAAGAGCCTGAATAGCCAAAGAAATCCTAAACAAAAATAACAAACCTGGAGGCATGACATGATCCGATTTCAAACTTACAGTAACCAAAACAGCATGATTCTAGCACAAAAACAGACACATAAACCAAAGGAACAAAATAGACAACTCCAAAAAAGAGCCACACACCTACAACTATCTGATCTTTGACAAGGTCAACAAAAATAAGCAATGGGGAAAGGACTCCCTATTAAATAAATGGTGCTGAGTTAGCTGGCTAGACATATGAAGAAAAAAATGAAGAAAAATGAAACTGGATCCATACTTTTTACCTAACTCAAGGTGAATTAAAGATTTAAATGTAAGACTTCAAACTATAAGAATCCTAGAAGAAAACCTAGGAAACACCATTCTGGACATCGGTCTTGGGAAATAATTTATAACTAAGTCCTTGAAAGCAATTGCAACAAAAACAGAAGTTGACAAATGGGACCTAATTAAACTAAAGAGCTTCTGCACAGCAAAAGAAACTATCTACAGAGTAGACAGACAACCTACAAAATGGGAGAAAATATTTGCAAACTATGCATCTGACAAAGTCATGATATCCAGAATTTATAAGGAACTTAAACAACTCAACAAGCAATAAACAAGTAACCCCATTAAAAAGTGGGCAAAAAATATAAGCAGATATGTCTCAAGAGAAGACATATTAATACAAGTGACCATCAAACATATAAAAAATGCTCAACATCACTAATTATTAGAGAAATTCAGACCAAAATGACAATGAGGCACCATCTCACACCAGTTAGAATGGCTATTAATAAAAAGTCAAAAAAAAACCAACAACAGATGCTGATAAGTCTGCAGAGAAAAGGGAATGCTTATATACTGTCGATGGGAATGTAAATTAATTCAGCCACTGTGGAAAGTAGTTTGGAGAGTTCTCAAAGAACTTAGAACTACCACTCGATCCAGCAAATCCCATTACCAGGTATATATCCAAAAGAAAATAAATCCCTCTACCAAAAAGACACATGCACTCATTTTCATCACGGCACTATTCACAATAGTAAAGACGTGGAATAAACCTAGGTACCCATCAATACTGGATTGGATAAAGAAAATGTAGTACATAAACATGATAGAACACTATGAAGCCATAAAAAAGAACGAAATCATGTCCTTTGCAGCAACATGGATGCAGCTGGAGGCCATTATCCTAAGTGAATTAACACAGAAACAGAAAACTACCACATGTTCTTACTTGTAAGTGGAAGCTTGTATTGGGTATTTGTGGACATAAAGATGGCAACAATAGACACTGGGGACTATTAGAGGGAGGGAGGGAGGGTTGCAGGCAAGATTTGAAAAACTAACTTGGGTACTTTGCTCACTACCCAGGTGACAGGATCATTCATATCCCAAACTTCAGCATCACACAGTATCCCCATGTAACAAACCTGCACATATACCTCCCAATCTAAAATAAAAGCTGATATTATTTTTTAATGTGGTACATATACACAATGGAATACCATTCAGCCATAAAAAGAATGATATCCTGTCATTTACAACATGAATGGAAATGGAGAACATTATGTTAAGTGAAATGAGCCAGGCACAGAAAGACAAGATTCTCATGTTGTCACTCATTTGTGGGAGTTAAAAATTACAACAATTGAACTCTTGAAGATAGAGAGTAATGGTTACCAGAGGCTGGGAAGGATAGTGGGGCAGGGGAAGTGGGCATGGATAATGGGTACAAAAAATAATTAGATCTAATGAATAAAATCTAGTGTTTGACAGGACAATAGGATACTACAGTCAACAAAAATTTATTGTACATCTTAAAATAACAACAGTATAGTTAGAGTGTAACACAAATAAATGATAAACACTTGAGGTGATGGATACCCCATTTACCCTGATGTGATTATTACACATTGTATGCCTATATCAAAATATCTCATGTACCCATTAAAATTAAATATTTTTAAAAAGAAGTACATGGAAACATGGAAGCCTGTTTTAGTTTGTTTTGGAGGTTGAGTTTTTTTGGGGGGTATTATTGAGTTCCTTACATTTATACAGTCACTGTGAATCCGTGGTGCTAAAGGTCAAAATAGGAATCACCTTACGGAGAAATAGCAGGTGATTATATAATGAGGAGGGAGTATGAGAGACCCTTCTGAAGTTCCTTGATCTGGATGGTGGTTACACAGGTATATGTATAAACTATTAGCTGTACACTTAAGATTTGTGTTCTATGCTTTATGTAAGTTATAAATTTAAAAGTAATTTTTTTAAAAAACTTGAACAAATGTTACCCAACAAAGTTTATCATTTTACGTAAAATACTATGAAAAATTGTATGGTAAACTTAAACATGATTAAGAAGTCAAAATCTTGAGCTAGCTTATAGAAATTAGCATGTCCTCCTGAGGCTAAACATAACTCAGAAAACAGCTAAAAGTGATTCAGAATTTCTAGATGTAAATTCTAGATGTAAAAAGTGTCACAATATGAATAAAGGTATGCTATTTTCATTTAATTTTAAACAGTACATTTGAGGTAGTGCTAAGCAGCTTCCCTTAAAAGTCAGCTAGATGTGTTTAAAAGATAGGTGGGTGACAACACAAATCATCCCTCTAACCTCTCCACCTTTGAATATCTTGCTTTCTAGAACTGGGATTGGCCATATTCATAGCCTTCGATATCATTGCTTGGCTTTGAATAAGCAACTTCTGGTTGCTAATAATGCTTGATTTCAATGCTGCATCACAGTACCATCCTTTTAGAATACATTTTAACCACAACTAAAGATAGGAATCTGAGTTAAAATTCAACAGAGTGTGGTATGATCAGATCCCAGAGCTCAGCTGAGGTGATAATTGGATGAACAGGTTCTGCCCAGGCTCTGTCCACACATGCCCCAGGCCTTGGCAAGTCTATCTCAGCCCACTCCTCTACCTGGCTGCTGGTAGGAGTCCTTGAGAGCCATTGCAAGGTAGCTCTTGAAATATCTAAGCGTTGGAGAAGAAAGGGAAAGAGCAGGTCTTAGAATGGAAGAAATCAGTGTAGATAATCACACTAGCCATCTCCATTTATTCACTTGCTGTCATACTTAACACACTCCAGACAGTCTTCTGCCCCATTATATCTCAGAACTGTACTCAGCAAAATCACTAATGGCCTCCATGTAACTAACAGAATGAAGACATCTCTACATTCACAATGCTTGACCACTCAGCAGCTCTCGACCCTTTGTTGACCCTTCCCAATACTCCTTTCCCTTGGTCTCCATGACACCGTGCTCTCCTAGTGTTCCTCCCATCTCCTTGGTTTTCTTTGGTGGCTTCTTCTGCTCTACTTCTCTTGGTTGTTAGTGTTCTTTGAGGTTGTAACTGACTGCTCTCTTCCCTGTTTCACTTTTGTCCTTTGTGATTTTACCCCATTTTCATATCTAAGCCTCTGAGATTCTACTTGTAATGTAATGAAAGAGAAATCCAGATATATTGATTTAATATATCACAATATATTGGTTTGGAAAGGGAAAAAAGAAATGCAGCAACTCTTAATCTATGTATCACCCCCAAGCTTCTCCTCCTCCCCCATGCCTCATCTTGACCTATTGACAGGCTAAAGACTGCCCATTCTCTTTCTTTACAAGTTGAACTACGTGTCTTCTGATCAGTGGTGAATGAGAGAAAAAAAGTGAACTACAAACTTAAAGATTAGGTGTGTGAATTCTGGCATAGATGATGACTAGGAGGAAGGGAGTTGATATGAAAAGGAAAAGGAAGAAGAGAAGAGACACAGATAAGGGGAGAGATTTGGGATGAGCAGGAATATTAAATATGATTGATGAATACAATACAGAGCTGATAATGAATTTGAGAATAAAAACCTTTTTGCCTACTCAAAATCTCATGGCTGAGCTCCACCACACCACCTCAGATCTTTTCCAAGGAATTAGTCTTATTAGCAAAGTGAACAGTGTGTGAAATGATGCCCAATAAATATGATTTTTGATCCACGAGGATACGCTCATAAGGAAAGATTACTGATTTTAACTAGTACCCTAAAGGCATAAAGAATTAACTTTCAGATGGTAAGCATTTTACTCCTCGTTCAGTGATAGGATTAGGTCCATTGCCTTTAATATGAAGAAATTATATTGTCTATCAGTAGTTTAGCAGATTAACACAAATTAATTTTTTTCCATATAAATTTTTTTGGCAGAGATCCTTAGGAACTCTTAGAGGGGTGAGGAGCAAGACTAAAATGGTCATCATTCAGTTCATGTTTTTTTTAAAGAACCAATGCTTATTTCAGTACAGAATGAGTTATTCTTTAATATTGTCTTTTTTTGAGTTCTAATGTCCCACAGAAGAAATACACGATAAAGATTAGGAAGATTAATTCATGCAATGTCAATAACATGACTCAGTAATACTCAGCTATCAAAGCCAGAATGCTTTAACCTTCTTGAAAGAAGGTTGGAAACGAATAGACTGAAAAAGTAGGAGACCACAGTTTGAAAGCCAAGTGCATTGTCCAACTCATTGTCCAAGAATGAAACAGATAAAAGTATGCAGCAGCCAAGAAATAAATAACAACCTGAAGACGAATCTTTTACATCCAAATTTTGTTCCAGTACTCTCTGCCCATCACAGACCGAGACCCCACTGTCACCACTACCAGGCTTGCACTGACCACTCACATCTCAAGATCAGATGCTTCCTTCAGAGCCCACAATTATTCCACTTCCTCCTCTATTTGGTCTTCAATGAATTATCACCAAAAAATGACAAGACCTGGAACCAGCAGAAGTCACAACCACCAAAGCCTTCATTCAGGTTAGTATGTTTATAAAATAAACACAAGCTTTGGTGCTGCTGGCAATCAACAGCAGGAGTAACTCCTCTCTCAAAAGCAACCACTACATATAGCCCAAATCTGAGTTTCAGAAGAACATGTGGACCACATGTCATCATGTTCTATAAATGGGCAAAAGATGGCTTCTGTGGATTGGTTCTAGGTTGCATATTTCTTCACTGCAGCCGGAGACCCATTAGCTCAAACGTCTGTCAACTCCAAACTCAAATTTTTACACGTCCATTTATTTTTTTAAAACAACCCAAATAAGCAAATTTTTAGCCATCAAGAGCCTGCCTCCTTTGCAGACCCCAAGAAACTTCACCCAATAGCTATTACCTGTTGGTAAGAAAGGATCTTGTGATGATAAGACCTCCAGACCCTGCTGCCTGTCAGAGCTCCCTGACCAAGAAACTCCCATGGTGTGGCTGAGCAACACCACTGGGTAACCACCTTCTCGGATCCCCCTCTACCCTGGGAGTTCCCTTGTTCTCTTTCCCTTTGGAATGGGTGACTCCCCTCACCATAAGCCTCTGAATGGTTGTATGCCGAAAGGTGCTTCCCCTCTCATGCAACCCTGTCCAAGTACCACACAATAAAGCTGGTTGTATATTACTGCCTCTTGCAGTCGTTATCTTTTTCCTAGATTACACTCCAAATCCCTCAATCTCCTACACACTATTTCATTTCATGATTGAATTTAGTCAAGTAGCCAGCTGACCACTAAGGTCTTCTTCCTATTTATAGGGCAACATGTTAGGGAAGGTACAAGGTGAGGTTCCTGTCACCAAATTTCATACTCTCTAGTTGAGGGGGTAAAGAAACTCACAAGTACAAGTAGACATCCATATGCTTTGAAGACCAATGGTCAAATCTCAGTTCCACCATTTATTGGCAAGATGAAGTTCCTTTACTCCACCAAGCTCCTGGCTCCTCTTCTGAAAAATGGGATAATGTTACCTCATGCATAGGGCTGTTGGAAGGATGGTATGAGCAAATATGTGCCCAGTATTTGGTAGAATCTTTCATACATTTTATAACCATTCCCTCCTAAAGATAGTCAAACAAATGCAAAATGAGTAGGACCCTCTCATTGTCCAGTTTCTCTCCTTTCCAGAACTAAGGATAATAATTAAATGATTAGGCCAGGCGCAGTGGCTCACGCCTGTAATCCCAGCACTTTGGGAGGCCGAGACGGGCGGATCATGAGGTAAGGAGATCGAGACCATCCTGGGTAACATGGTGAAACCCCGTCGTTACTAAAAATACAAAAAATTAGCTGGGTGTGGTGACAGGCGCCTGTAGTCCTAGCTACTCGGGAGGCTAAGGCAGGAAAATGACGTGAACCCGGGAGGCGGAGTTAGCAGTGAGCCGAGATCACACCACTGCACTCCAGCCTGGGCGACAAAGTGAGACTGTCTCAAAAAAAAAAAAAAAATTAAATGATTAATTCTCTAACAGGTTTTTAAGAATCTGTCTTCTCCATTAGAAAATTAACTCCAGAATAAAACAAGACTATCATCTGTCTTGTTCCCTCAATACAACAAACATAAATTATTTACGGAATGAATGAGTGAGTGAATTAGTAAAGACAACAGATACTTTTGGATCTGAAAGGAGGGAATGATCACTGAGGAATGACATGAATAGAGGTTTATGAAGGATCAGGACATGACTGAGATTTCTTGAAGGATGGCTGGGATTTACCTTCATGAAGTAGGGCAAGAAGAAGGCACTAAGGCGGGAATGGCCCATTGTCAGTTGCCAGAAAGTGGACAGTCTGGTTGAGAACATCCTCTCCATGGGAATAATTACAATAAGGTTAGGGAGGAAGGTTTAGGACTGGAGTTTGAGGCCCATTTTTTTAAGATTCTCTCACCAAGTAAGTAAGTAGAATCCAGTCAAGCTCACAAACATCCAGAAGGCCTGAAACCACACCTTCTAAGCCTACCCAAATCCACTTCATTCTCCACGTTCACATTGTGAAATAAGAAATACCAAAATCCATGTCCTCGGACCAAGTTACAACATACTATATTAATTACATTAACTGAAATCCAGGATGGAAATCAATCCTTATTACCAGATGCCTTAATGGAATTTCCTGAATGGATTCAGGCTTTTTACCTTTAAGGATTTAAAATTTACTGGGGCTGGCAGAGCCGAATCTTGATAACTTAGGTGCAAACATCAAATACCTTTCCATGTCTGTAGGGTAATTACTAAGATCTTTATTCTCCAAACTAGATGCCATCTGAAGTCATAAAAAGAGCAGTTAACCTAAAATGTAAAATACTCAGGTCTCCTCTGAGACTTAATGATATGATATCCTGTTAACTAGTAACCTAATCACTAATTCTCCCAACCAAAGACAGAAAATAAGCCCTTAAACTATTCAGGAGGCCCAGCTCCTGAACACCCAGCACATTCTCTTTAAGGAGGAAAGAGTTTGCCCAGTTTTGTTTGCATTCACTGATCTTTCGGTAAACTGTCCGTTCTGATGGCTGCAACCACATTTTAACAATACTGATTTTTAGGGGAAATTCTACTACGGTAGGAATTATGGATGAGCCATCAGCCTGGACATGATGGTTAAGGACATGGAGCAGGAATTGTTTTTTGAGGGAACGTGTGTGGAAAGACACAGAAAGAGGACATATGCCTGAGTTTTATGAGACATCTATGTGTGGAAGACCAAAGAGGTGTCTCACTTTCGCAGGTGACATCCACGTGGGCTTTCTCATGCCACTTCATAGAACTTGAGGAACAAGGGAAACTGACACAAACAGGAAACTGGTATTTCTTGCTGGGCCATGACTAGTAAAGTCCTTTGTCTCTGATCCAGGCATCCTGTGTCTTCTGCCAGCATCCATAAAACTGTAGCAAGCTTATTAGCTTGCAAGTAGGATAAAATCTCAGGCTCTGTACGGTTCTTGACAAATAGCAAGTAAATTGGTCAGAATTATACATACTAAAACACCCTACCTTTTCTCCAACCAAAATATTTTGTTTATGAGTCTTCATGTAAATATCCCAACCTGCTGTGTGACTCCTAAACATGCATAATCAGAATTTTTTTGTTTTGTTTCAACTAAAGACTTCACTGAGGCAGCTTATGCATATTATTTTCTCTTCTGAAGGCTCTCTGGGGCTTCTATGTGTTCTTCTAATTTATCTCAGACCAGTCACTTGGGGAGTTGATGATCTGGGATGGTAGTGCCATTCTTCTTTTCTGTATTACGTAGCATAAGTCAAGGACAGTTAAGCAGTTGATAAAGGATGTATTGTTTTTCAAAAAGGCAAACATAAATATAAAAGTATAAAAGGTTATAACCAAAATTTTAAGAGTAAATATCTCTGGATGGTGAAATTATGGATTTTTTTTTATTTTTATTAATTCATATTACCTAGTTTTCTAATATGAACACGAATTACATTATATAATGTTTCAAAATAAGACAAAAGGTTAACTGAAACCATAGCTTCTCACCTGGAAGGATAATACCTGACTCATGGACTCCCATGGCCTTTATGCCCCAGTGCCAACATGTAAATAATCCTTCCAATAGTCTCACCTCATCCCTTCCTCTAATCCCTCCCCTGATCTCCTTACTGGGGCTGAGGAGAAAGCAAAGTGCAAATAACTAGGTATTAAAGTAATATTTGGTGATTCAAATTAGTTTAGCCAATATAACCTTTACAGGACTCTTGTTAAAATGTACACAAAGACTTTTATCGATCCCAAGCACAAATACAAGATTCAATTTAAAACATCTTGTGTTTCTGCTGAAGCCAAAGCAATGACAACCCCTGTAAATTCCCTAAGGGAAGACCAGAAATGCACTGAGTGATATATAATAGCTATCTCCCAAGAAAAGAACAAGAAGCCATTTATGAAATCTTACCATGTAGGAAGACTAATGTGTCTATTAAAAGCAAAAATGTGAACTCCAGGTCTTCTCATTGGGGACTGATTTAAATGCAGTTTTGCTAAATTAGTGGTAGAAGAGATCTAAAGTAGAAGACTAACAATGAAGTCACATAAAACAGTACATCCTTGGTAGGAATAATTTATATGGTACAATTCCTACACAAAGTAGACGAGTAAATAGGTTAGACAATTGTTTTTCAAGGTGCTACTATATAGGGAAGCAGTGCTTTTTTCATCAAACCCACATCATGTTAATAAGAAATTGTTTTCAATATTCACTTTATTAAGAAGACTAACTCATTTTAACAAAGTTAAGCATTCATAAACATTAACTGTACTTTATAATTGGAATTTTTTCTAAACTATATCTGATTTTTACTCCAGAAAGCCAATATTAAAGGCCAACATGATATGAAGAACAGTCAGCAAGTGACTTCTAATCCTATCAAACAAATTATAAATGCTTTGCAACATAAACATTTTCTATTGCCTCATTTGTTCTCACTTATTTTCTCAATGTTTAGAACCCTTTATCAGGCTTTTAGGGAGCAGTATCTGTCAGTCTGTCAGCCACTTTGGGTTAAATTCAAGCTCATCTGTGCCCGCTGCACAAACAAACATAAAAGTCTATTAGAAGCATGAAGAAATGTGCTTATAATCTCTTATAGAAACCAGAAGTCTTTCCTATAGACATGACTTCATATGCATACTACAAGGCTACAGTAACCAAAACAGTATGGTACTGGTACCAAAACAGAGATATAGACCAATGGAACAGAACAGAGCTCTCAGAAATAATGCCACATATATCTACAACTATCTGATCTTTGACAAACCTGACAAAAATAAGAAATGGGGAAATGATTCCCTACTTAATAAATGGTGCTGGGAAAACTGGCTAGCCATATGTAGAAAGCTGAAACAGGATCCCTTCCTTACACCTTATACAAAAATTAATTCAAGATGGATTAAAGACTTAAATCTTAGACCTAAAACCATAAAAACCCTAGAAGAAAACCTAGGCAGTACCATTCAGGACATAGGCATGAGCAAGGACTTCATGTCTAAAACACCAAAAGCAATGGCAACAAAAGCCAAAATTGACAAACGGGATCTAATTAAATTAAAGAGCTTCTGCACAGAAAAAGAAACTACCATCAGAGTGAACAGGCAGCCTACAGAATGGGAGAAAATTTTTGCAATCTAATCATCTGACAAAGGGCTAATATCCAGAATCTACAATGAACTCAAACAAATTTACAAGAAAAAAACAAACAACCCCATCAACAAGTGGGTGAAGGATATGAACAGACACTTCTCAAAAGAAGACATTTATGCAGCCAATAGACATATGAAAAAATGCTCATCATCACTGGCCATCAGAGAAATGCAAATCAAAACCACAATGAGATACCATCTCACACCAGTTAGAATGGCGATCATTAAAAAGTCAGGAAACAACAGGTGCTGGAGAGGATGTGGGGAAACAGGAACACTTTTACACTGTTGGTGGGACTGTAAACTAGTTCAACCATTGTGGAAGTCAGTGTGGCGATTCCTCAGGGATCTAGAACTAGAAATACCATTTGACCCAGCCATCCCATTACTGGGTATATACCCAAACGACTATAAATCATGCTGCTATAAAGACACATGCATACTTATGTTTACTGCAGCACTATTCACAATAGCAAAGACTTGGAACCAACCCAAATGTCCAACAATGATAGACTGGATTAAGAAAATGTGGCACATATACACCATGGAATACTATCCAGCCATAAAAAATGAAGTGTTCACGTCCTTTGTAGGGACATGGATGAAGCTGGAAACCATCATTCTCAGCAAACTATCGCAACAACAAAAAACAAAACACTGCAGGTTCTCACTCATAGATGGGAATTGAACAATGAGAACACATGGACACAGGAAGGGGAACATCACATACTGGGGCCTGTTGTGGGGTAGGCAGAGGGGGGACGGATAGCATTAGGAGATATACCGAATGTTAAATGACGAGTTAATGGGTGCAGCACACCAACATGGCACATGTATACATATGTAACAAACCTGCACGTTGTGCACATGTACCCTGAAACTTAAAGTATAATAAAAAAAAGAAATGACTTCATACGTCCCACTGTTTCCATCCCATCCTTTACTCACCAAACTGCCCAAACAACAAACACACACGTACACACACTTTAGATTTTAAAACATAATTAAGAAAAAGATACTGAACCGTATGAAAATATTCTTTGACAGAGGACATAATTCTCCTCTATACAACAAAACAAAAACATCTGTTAATCCAGCTCCTTTATTTCACTTTTACAATAAGAAAGCTCAGAGGTTCTGTAGATGTCAACAACAAACACATGCCCAAAGGCATAAAAAGATGAGAAATGCAACCACCAAATCAGCAGCAGCAACACCAGGTAGGGAAGGTACCCTGGGTACTGCTCGAGGCAGCTAGCAGCCTTCAGTGTTTCGCAAGCCATCAGACTTCGTTAGAACAGATGTTACTTAGCCACCAGAGAGGTCTTGGTACCACGCATGCCTGCCTGCCCAGCGAAGGAAACTTTATTGTATGGAAGAGTTAGTATACTCTGTTCAAGTCTCCTTTCTCTTTCTTCTCAGAGGTCCTGAAAACTAAAAACAAAGGCAAAGAGAGTGAAGTGAGGAAGAAGATGATCTATTCTGAATTGACTGTCAGTAAAGAACATGGCTTCTGCTCTGGCTTTGTGGAAGAAATCACAAAAATATGACGGTCCAATGTGTTCTTGGGAACAGGGAGAAGAATATTACCTGGGAACAGCCTGGGACACTGCAAGGAAGAGAGCGTCCACATCATTTGAATAAGCTACAAGTGATAAGTCATTTTTCATTAATTCAGCTAACAAACATTTATTAAAAGCCTACTATGTGCTGGTACTGTTCTAGGTGCTGAAGATACAGCCTTAAATAAGGTGAAGAAGGTCCCTGCCCTCAGATGTGTACATTCTAGTCGAAGAGACCTAAAAAGCTAGGAATAAATAAACTCGGGTAATGTAAGTGCTAGGAAATAAAATTAGGCAAGATAAAAGAATGGAAAAGGTCCAAAGGTGGATGGGCAGGGGTGCGAGGGAAGGAGGCTGATGGTTATTTTAGATAGGGGGGTCAAGATGGACCTACATACACCAACCAAGATTCCAGCAAGGTCAACCTTTGGCTGCCTGCTAAATGTGATTTAAGATACGCTGCCAGGAAAGGACGCATCCATTTATTCATTCAAAAATGTACTGCTGGACATGACTAGTGTGTACTGGACACTGCTGTGCATTAGGGATACAGGGTAAGCAGAAAGAAACCAAAACAAAACATGCTGCAGGAAGGTAGCCCTTAACCAGGTAAACGGCCAAATAAATAAAGGGCTATCACTGGTGACTTTTGCCAAAAGTGCAACAAAGGAAACTGCACTTATTCAAACTGAAATAGCTAGGCGCTAAAACCAACAGAAGCCATCCATGCTCAGAGGTTTTCTGGCTTCTCAGCTAACAGAGATTTGATGGCAAGTGGGAAGGGGAGGAATGTGGACAGGATCCAAGCCTGAGGTTACTGAAAGTCTGGAAAGGTAAGAAGGCTTCCCAAGGGTTGAGAAGGTCACAGAAAGGGGTGTGGGTATGAATCTGGAGGTTCTTGGAGGTGGAAGGTACCTTCAAGTAAATTAAACAAAACCCACACCCATTACTTAGGTGAGGCAACCAAAGCCCAGAGATGTCAAACGGCTTGCATAAGGTCACAGAACTAGATCATGGGATACCCGCAAGTAGAATCGCAGTCTACTTGTCAGTGAAGTTAAGCATTTACACTGAAATCTATATTTCACTTGGGGTGGGTAGGGAGGGTGAACAACAGGTATGTGTTTTCCCTCTATTTTCAAAATCTGATGAAAAAGAGGAGGAATTAAGAGGAGAATTTGCGATTAGACTCAGAGAGCTCACAAGTCTCAGAAATAATCTGTAAGTCCTCTTTAAAATAAATCGGGATTTTATTTAAACACAAAGTCAACCTTCAGACACAGTAGACGTGAAATCCTCCTGTTAGGGCAGGGATTTGCTGGAGCTCATTAATTCTGAGCAGGGTTGTTTCCCGCCCAGCTTTCTTCAGTGTGTACAGTATTTTCATTTTTCTTGCTCTTACTTTTTTGGGCACTGAGCCCAGCTCTGAGACTCCTGGGTACAGGCATTTACAGAGAAGCTGCTGTTGGGCCTGCACGCTGGTACCATCCCACAGCAGAAGAAAGGGAAGATAAACCACCATTTATTTCTAAGTGTAAACCTTTTAGTTACTTAGAATGGTGATGCTCTAAATAGCCAGAGTGTTCTAAGTGGTAACTTATCTTCATTCTCCTGACACACGACATTGTCAGCACAGCCTGTTTTGGCATGAGAGGAGTCCTAGCTAGGGGCAAGATTCCTCAGGATAACCTGATGTTTAGCAGAATGATTACCAGTATGAATATTTTATCCATATCTCTTTGATAATCCTTGAGACAGAGTTTCACACTTGTTACCCAGGCTGGAGTGCAATGGTGCGATCTCTGCTCACCACAGTCTCTGTCTCCTGGGTTCAAGCGATTCTCCTGCCTCAGACTCCCAGATAATCCTTTTAAGGGTAGGCAATGAACCTAGACAGTCACTAATGAGGTTTGGGTAGTTTGCTGTTTTTTTCTGGAATTTCACATCAGTAGTCAGTGGCCCAAGCTCAGCTTCATTGGCCACAAGGCAGAATGCTTTTAGATAAGAATGAGCTTGCACTCTGCTTTCACCAAGGAATTCTTTAAAAAAAAAAAAAAGGAAATAAAATAATAATAATTAAAAAAAAACCTCCAGATTTTCTTTTGCTTGTTTTTGTGTGTTTGCTTTTTACCCTGTTTTCTGGAACTATGTGGAAGTTGAACCTATCAAAGTGAGATGGCCTCAGCCAGATGCATGGGCCAGAGTCCCACAAGAGATCTCTAGATTCTACATAAGAAGGGAAAGCAGGGGAGTAGGGCAAAAAAAAAAAAAAAGAAGGGGAAGCAAAATACCCCCTGCCTTCAGGGTCAGCCTCCCTTAACTAACTTTCTGTTCCCTGCCTGGAAAAAAATCAGCAAGGGGGAAAACTGGGATACACAGATTTTATTTCACTGGCTTCCTTCCTTTACTTCCTCTTCCCCAAATTTCCCAAGGTAGAAAAGGGTCAGGCTTTTTTCTTATCTCCTCTGCTCTCCAGGCTTCTTCTACCATGAAAGATATAGAAGGCAGCCCCGTGGCTTTGCTGTCATAGGCAGGAGTATCATTTTTGGTTCCTTCCTATGTTGAAGGAGGGAGATAATGATCTTTTCAAAATCCTCTCTCCAGATAACAGCCTGGCTTTCCAGGCTATCACCTTGCTGGGTGATCCTACTTTGCATATCAGAAACTAATAATGCTCTCCTCTCAGGTAGATGGGCTTCTCAAACTAACTGGAAATGCTTATGGACCCAGAGAAAAGAAGCATGCCCAGGAATAATATTTTAAATATTATCCCTCTGACTTGTAGATGCTACCTGGGTGATGGATGTTTACATCGTTTCTTTCTTTTGCTATTACAGATATTTCTGCAAGGATGAACATACATACTTACCTGCATGTGTAAGTATGTCAATAAGATAAAATCCTAGATACAGAATTGCTCAAACTTTGTATTTATATATAACGTTTGCAAAACTTAAAACACAAAATGGAAAGTTAGGTGAAGATGAGTGGGAAGAAGTGAAAGTCTTTGAAATTGTGTGGGAGAACAGAACTCCAAAACATTACCAAAACAATTTATTCAGACTGCACTCACATTTTTCATGCCAATGGTACAACTCTCAGAGAAAAGTATGTGAGGTGTCAGCTTCTTCATTTCAGCAAGTCAAATTTCTCGTTCCATTTTCTCATTCAGTTCATAGTTCCAGAGTACCCTGGACCATGTTCATTTGCCCTTCAGATTTTCTTTAAGATGACTGACAAAATTGCTAATGGGATGCAATGGCTTTAGACTCTAGGTCACTGGTTTTCATGTCAGTGAGTCCCATAGCAGTGTTTCCTTTTTTATTAATTTTGTTTTTGAGACAGGGTCTTGCTCTGCCACCCAGGCTGGAGAGTAGTGGTGCAATCTCAGCTCACTGCAACCTCCTCCTCCCGGTTCAAGCGATTCTCCTGCCTCAGTCTCCTGAGTAGCTGGGATTACAGGCAACCGCCATCACGCCCAGCTAATTTTTGTATTTTTAGTAGAGACAGGGTTTCACCATCAGGCTGGTCTCGAACTCCTGACCTTGTGATCCGCCCGCTTTAGCCTCCCAAAGTGCTTGGATTACAGGTGTGAGCCAAGCAGTGTTTCTTATAGAAAATAAATGACTAGACAATCACCGTGGTTACGTATTCTCCTCTAGTTCATTTCCTTCCTAAGCTCATTCATCTGTGTTTCTACATTCTTCCACAACAAATTACAAATGTTAAATTAAAATTTCCTAGAACTTTTTCTATGTCTATATATGTATATATTTTAACTGGAAAGTAATAATGAACATACTCTTCCACACTTGCTTTTTTCCACTTAAGAACATATTTTCTGTATTTTAAATGTACAATCTTATCTTACTAATGAGATCTAACTAATTCATTTAATATATGCATAGAATTATGTTGTATGGAAGTGGTAACCTATGTGGTTAGATTGTGATAGGACCTCCATTTTGTATGTTTTATCTGTCTGTACTGTTTCATTACTTCGACAATATAATTTTTATAAAAATTGATAAATTTTTATTTAAAATAAAATAAAATAAAATTTCCACTATATGATTATTGTTGTAGATTTTTCTCCCCTCTGTGTTAGGCTCAGGATGCTCATAGTAACCTCCCCTGTTTTTCACTCTCACTCTCTAAATGTCTTTTACTTGTTTACCTTCCCCACACTTACTTCCTCTCCTTTATCTAGGTCTGTCCACTGTAATTCATTCTGTCACCCCAGCAAACTTCCACACATACGTTTGTCTCTCTTACTCTTTTGGCACAACTCCTTAAATGTCTAAAAACTCCTCTTACATTCTTCTAACATTTACCCCATCGCTACTTCCACCTACAAATTTAAAAAGAAATAATCGTTTTATCCTTTTACCAGTTTGCACTTCTGCTGTGTATATTCCTACTAAAATTTTCTAGAGGATTATAGTTGGGGAAGGAGAGAAACAAAAAAGCAGGAGAGACCCACCTTAGCCGTTTAAGAAACTAAACCATAAAATACCATATTCAACCTTTTTGTGAACATTCTTTGATATGCTGCACTGCTCTACTCCTTTAATTAAAAATAATGGTCAAATAAAAATACTTTCAGAAATTGTGAGATGACTCAGTTAAAAGGAGGATATCACTGCTGATGTATAGATAATACAATTATCTCATGACAAGGACATAAACCCCCTGAACCAGATGGCCCTGCAATTGAATTTCACAAGAAATTTAGAAACTTATTACAGGAACCACCCTGTGCTCCCAGATAGAGACTACACTTTTTTACCAGAGCATAATATGTCAGAAACAGCCAAGTGATTGAGTTTTATGCAAATCAAATAACCATAGACTAAGGCCTCTTCATCTCCATTTCCTAAGATAACAATGTAAACTCTCCTAGAATGGAAGGAGAAATCAGTTTGATTTTTGCAAGGCATGATCCACTATGTCTTAAGCGTTGCCTGAATACAGGCACACAGAATGTTAGAAGGGGGCACAAAGGGGTGAGGAGCGTGGAAAATACTCTGAGCAAAGGAAGGAATAAAAAAAAATTCTTCTAAGACTAGGAGACTGAAGCTAGATTGACTTAAGATAAAAACAGCTCTAGTCTCTCCTTTTCATCACCTTTTCTTAGCATCACCCCCATCTCATACGCATCCCCATTCCGTGCCCATCTCCTGGTCTTAGGAAGTTGTGTGTATGTACATGTTGTGTTTTTACAGGAATTTGCCCTCTCTAGCTTTCTGGCCATCCCTGTGCTGACAATTAACCTTAAAGAAGATAGAAAGCCATATGTTGACCGGCATGGTATTGGCAGCTAGAAACTAAAGCCAGAATGACCAACCATCCCAGCACTCAACCCCACACTCACACGTAGCCTTGGAATGTCATTCACAGCAGCAGAATGAGAATATGTTCAACCCACAAAGTACAACAGATTTATAAAGCACAACAGATTTCAAGTGTGGGGCTTAGTATACAATTTGAGGATAGTAAAGAATTTTTATGTACACTATGCCTTTTTAGATTTCTTGCTGATTCTTGGAATATTTTACTGCCACTTAAGCCAGGACTGAGTCCTGGCTTTCTTACATGGCGGTAGCAGCGGTTCTGACAAGAACTGACTTACGTGAGCTCTGCAGAGAGGGAGTTTGCAGATCTGCAGTGATGGCATCCCATCTCAACCTAAACTAGGTAACTCTGTCCTGGTGCCTCTGTTGCCTCCTGAAATGGGATTTGAGATAAGCCATGCAGCTTTTCTCACAGATAGTCAACATGACACCCAACTACACTGAAATCCTCAAGATTAGAAACTCCTTGAAAGCTGAGATGGCATTTGTTTTTCCACCATCCTCCAGCTAACAAAGCCCTCAATATCTGTTTAAAATGAATAAATTATCCAAATAAGCAAAAACAGAAGAACATTTCAGATGTTCCCATGTGTGTTGAAATAATCTCTTTCTCATCCCAATCCCCCATCAGCACCTACTCACTATGAGGATGAAACAGATAAAGAAGATATTTTAATAATGTCAATTATACCATTATCATTACTATGCATTATTATATGAATATTAGTTTATTTAAATGCATGCACACAAAATAATGGATACTTTTTAAAAACTAACTAAAATATACATATTAAACATGTTGAAATCATTGTCTATAGGTAAGGAGAAGGGAGTAGAACATAGGGATAAAAGGAAATTATCAATTAAGCAATCAGTATATAAATTAATACCTAAGTAGCAATTAAATTCAGCAGTCAAGGGAATTTGGAGTGAAAAAGTCCTTGGTCTGGAGAATGGAACAGATTCTTGGGGGAACCAAGATAGATGCTCAATGATGAGTGTTACAGAAAGGAACCCTGGACATTACCCACCCCCAGGCAGAGCCCACATGTGGACAAGGGAGGAAATAATAGGTAAAACAGCACTCTTCCCAAGCACAGGAAGGAAGCAAGCCTTGTAGAGACACTCTCCTGCCTTGCAGGGCTAGTGAGCAGTTTCATAGCAATGTCTACAGAAAGCCTGCCACAAGTTCATAGCCTCTGAGCAAGACCTAAGAACCAAGAAACATTTTCCCCTCTGTGACCAAGAGCCACAAAGACATGCCACAAAGGACAGCAGACCCAGTGGCCTATGGTAAGAACAAAAAAGATCCTACAGAAAATGCCAGAGAAGACTGACTACCAGAGGCTAGCTGGGAGCTCAGATATCTCAGCAGATGCTGGCACAGAGAGGTGATGATGCTTGAGGACCAGATGGGAGGATGTTCTGCTCAGCAGATGTCAGCCTGGACAAATGAACCCCATAGACCTGGTGCTTCTCTTTAGCCCACCCCAACAACCCTAGGTGCCTGACTCTGTAAGGCCTCTGGGAATTCCAAAGCAGCTTTCATGAGAAGGATGGTAGTGGAAGAAAATGCTGAATTGACTGAGAAAATAAAGAATAAGTGTATTCCAGGTTGACGTGAGCTTTTCCCATCAGGCAACATGGAACCATGAACTAGAAATTAAGTCATCCAATTGATGTATTGGGAATTCATTCCTTCTATAATAATAGCCAAAATTCCCCCATAAATGACATGGGTCAGCTTCTTCATGTGAGATGCCTTTGGAGGCTATCACAAGTGATTTTTTTTTCAGATTAATAGTGGCTGCTGTAAACTTTAAAGAAAAAGAAACTCATGTACTGAGAGAAATGAGAGAAGATGTGCAATTGATGCAAAGGATACAAATTTGCAGTTAGCAGGCTTGGGTTGGAAGCCAGTGCTTGCCCAATGACCTTGGGCAAGTCACTCAAATTTTCCCTGCCTCTATGTCTTCATTTACAAAGTGGAAATGATGATGATAATAATGCCTGTTTCACAGGGCTTCTATGAGAAAAAAATGAGATAATGTATGCAGAAGTGCTTTGTAAACTATAAAAAACACATAACTGTTAATCATTTTTATCATCATCTATGAATAATAAGCAGCTTTATAGAAAGCATTTGTATAGATTCTGAACATCTAATATATTCATAAGGAAGTGCTTACGCACTGGAAGAATCTGACTTTTCTCCCCTGTTTTGGTCTCTTTGAAAAATAGTGCTAACCAAAATCAATTATTAAATGGATGTGCAAATGGAATGTCCAATGACTAAAATAAATTAAGAATAAGATTAAAATTTAAGTCCAAGTTCGGAATCATGGAGTTTTTTATGACCAACAGATCTTATCAGCTTTTAAAATAGTGAAATATTTACTTTATCAAAAATCTAGAATATTAAAAACGAAAACCCAGAGTCACAGGAAATTTATACTAACCTTCTTGCTGACATTCTAAATATCATGTATGAATGTTTCACATTTGATCAAACTTTAAAAATGTGGCAATGACAAAGTAAGCTCAAAATTACTTTGTTTTAGTTTATTCTATATTACCTAAGCATCATATAAACTCAAAAATGACTTTTAAATGTAGAAGAGCAGTGATTTTTTTCAAGAAAGGAAATTCAATCAGAATTTGATGGAGAGGTGAATCATTCAACTTTTTGAGAGAATAAGATTCATACATTTAATTTTAATTATGTGTCATGACACACCTGCAAGACATTCAGGAAGAGATGCTCAATCTAGAAGTGGAAATCAGGTTCTCACCCTCAGAATAGGGATCTGAGTCATCAGCATATGAGTATTTGTGGATACCCTGGATAAGTGAGAAATCCATCCAGTGGAGGTCTTGGGGAGAACTCCTTTAATGAACAGATATGAATAGTTTACGTTTAATAAAGTTTTTTTCTCTCTGCATTCTCAGACTTTTGATGTTCCTTACCACATTGTTTTCTTATTATCTGTTTATCTACCTCCTCTTAGCTTAATTATGAGAAACTGTAGAATGAAGTCCCCTTTCTCCCATCTCTTTGCCTAAGTGAGTGTCAGGTATTTCCATATAAATACATGCTTCCAAGTTGTATTAAAGATACTTGAAAGATGCTTGAAAATGTCCTTTTTATTTCTATTTTATCTAAGCATCAGAGAGGCACAACAATGACTTTTGAATGTGGAAGTGTAGTGGTTTTTTTTAAGGAAGGAAATTCAATCAGAATTTAATGGAGAGGTTAATCATTCAGTTTTTTGAGAGAATAAAATTCACACATTTGAATTTTATGTTTCCATGTAACGCATGCTTCTAAGTTGTACTTGAAAGACGCCTGGAAAATGTCCTTTTAGTAGCTTTAAATATGCCCTCACGGTATTGTGTATAGGTTAATTTTTTTTACTTAATCCTTTCTTCATAGTTTAAGTAGAGGTGAAAGTCCACATAGACTCCCTTAAGGTAATTCTATAGCCCACTGTAGAGCCTGAACTGTTTTAGAGCTCAGAAAGAAAGTCTTCTACCTGGAAAGTTTCTGGCAAGAAAATATGCTTTATATTCACTGTACTCCCAAACATTTTACCTTTAAAAATAAAATTACAAGTTAGCAGGCTATGCACATGGCAGGCATACAATAAATACAAAGAATCAATCCATTGTAGGATTCTTCGTCTTCTTCTAGTTCCAATATAGTGCTTAGCACATAGTTGGCTCTCAATAAATGATTGTATAATTAATTGTATTAGTTAATTCAGTGCTTAATAACTATTTGCTAAGCCACACGTTGTGGCTCATGCCTGTAATCCCAGCACTTTGGGAGGCTGAGGTGGGTAGATCACCAGGAGTCAGGAGTTCGAGATCAGCCTGGCCAACATGGCGAAATCCCATCTCTACTAAAAATGCAAAAATTAGCCGGGCATGGTGATGCGCACCTGTAATCCCAGCTACTCGGAAGGTGGAGACAGGAGAATCACTTGAACCTGGGAGGCAAAGGTTGCAGTGAGCTGAGATCACGCCACTGCACTCTAGCCAGGATGACAGAGTGAGACTACGTCTCAAAAATAATAATAAAATAAAATAAAAATAACTATTTGCGAAAAGAATGGCCTTTAAAAGATGACACCTCCCACATTATTATCATCACACTGGCCCCTCCCCTGATAGCTGAACCATAGTTCCAACCATCCACTGGACATTTCAACTCAGATGCTCTGCACGCAGACAGAAGTGGAAGCCAGTAAATCAGAAGAGGTGAAAATAGGTAATGGAATAAGAAAGCATGAGTTGGTTCCACAGGCTCACAAATTCAAGTTGCTATGAATAAGTCCATACTGTTTTGTCCCTCAGGAAATCATATAGGCAGCATTCAAGATTTTTCTCTTAAAAAATGAAGAAAAGTCTATCATTAAGTAGATAAGCATGCATAGAGTGATTATTCGGTAGAGCAGTAGGACCGAGAGTGTTTTTATTTATCTTTTTATGGTAAGTATCCTTTATACTTAAATTTTTCTTTTATTTTTATTGGTCCTCAGGAACATGTACATTATCATTTATTCTTACAGGCCTTTCTCTTGTCTGCTTGATTGTTTTATTCCCTTTCATGCCCATTTTTTCCCTATAGGAAATTATGATACCATGTTGTAAAATGTGTTGCTTTAATATATGTAATTTTAATTATATAAATGGTACTATGATTTTTTTAAATCTCACTTTTACTTTTTTCATCCATGACTATATTAAGATCTATCCATAATGTTACATGCAAATCTTGTTCCGTGCTTCTAACAACTTAACAGTGTTACACATATATCACTTTTATAATTTAAAAAAAAAACTTTTAAAAGACCTTTAAAAGCTTTTTTTAAAAAAAGCGAATTTTGGGTAAAACAAGTAAGAATAGATAACAATTGAAGTCCGTCATATTAGGCAGTTTTTAGAATTTTGGTCTATATTACAAATCACTTTTCCACATAAGAAATTAGAGACTCATTGATAATTGTTTCATTTTAGCAAATTTTGGGGGATTGTACTCTGCTTTTATACAGATTTTACAAAAACCTGGTCATTGGTGCCAGGATAGCAAATCCTCCTGGAGCAATTTCACAAATTTTAAACATAAAACTCTGGTGGAAAAAAGATAAGAGCAAACATCACATGGGCCAATTTGGTTAAACGCACAGTCCAACTGATGTTTTGACTGAACTAACCAACTGAAGGATTATCCTATTATTTGTAATGCTATGTTGATGTCAGATGAATTCTTAAAGCACAGTATTTTCACTGGTCTGTTGGTCACATAAGATTATGTCCTGATGGAAATACCAGGCCCACCATTCTCGTAGATTGAAAGTTCAATTTAGACAACTAAAAAGGAATTATTTCCTCTCTCTTAATTGACCGTATGTACTCCTTGTTTCAACAAGGCTGGATCCTGGGTTGAAACTCCCACTTTGAGGGACAGGCCCAAGGTGTCATGTCAGAATAAATCAGATTCATTAAGCTAAAAAAGGAAAACCTAAGAAGTCAACTCAGATCACAAAACTGGGATCAGAGATATTAGAGAGTAGACTCTGAAATGAAGAAAGCACAGCAGTGCAGATTTAACCAGGCCTCAGCATAGATCTAACACAATGTTCCAGCCACTCTCTTCCCTTTCCTCCTCCCCATCTCTCCCCCATGATCATGGAAAATTGCTCATATGAGAAGTTTATAATGTGTGAGCTTTTGAACGTTGGGTATCTTAAAAATTTTATTAATCATTTTCTCCAATTGCTTATATGCTTAAATACCTAGGCTTTTTCTCTTTTTTTGGTGGAGGGGTAAATAATTTTGGATTCTTTTCACAATTTTTATAGCTACTTTATTTTTATTATGCTAACTATAACCTTTTAAAAGTTAGAATTTGCCTCATTTAAAACTTCACCCCAGTGTGGAGTTTTTTGTTGTTTCTTTTTTTTTTTTTTAAATAAAGAATGAGGTTAGAAATATTTAGACTACAAATCCCAAACCACAACTCCTACTTTCAACCTGCAGATAAAATTGTCAAAGAACTTACCTGAAGGGACCTAATGATTCAGGTCATCTACATCTAATACATATGAATATTTAAATTTATTGAACTCCAACAATGTGCTAGACACTGTTCTAAGGTCCTTACATGTGTTCACTTATTTAATCTTCACAAAACACTATGAGAGGGATTTTCTTATTATCTCATTTTATAGATGGGGCCCCAAGATCACCCAGCTCATTCAGTGGTGGTGCTGGGCTTTGACCACAGCTGACCTTCTAAACCATTAGACTTATACCACTCAGCATATAAAGGATTCTGCCACACAACTTGGGGAGTTTTTATTTCCAGTGAAATCTCCTCAATGTCAAGGTGAACTTTGCTTCACATCTGCAAGAACGACAACTAGTGACTTTCGTTACAGAAAGTAATGAAGAATCTTGTGCCAAATATAAGATAATTAAATATATGGTGAGCTGTGCATGTGACAATATACTTCTCATTGACACAAATGACAAGGTTGGATATCATAGTAAAATGGGAGTTTATAATAGAAATCCTGAAGGGCTTGAGTATGTGGCACTAATAAGAAGCAACACTAATTCTACTTATGCAAATTCTCTCATGGTTCCTAAAACAGGTCTAATAAATGATGTTACTCCCTGAGAACTGCATGTTTCACTTCATATACTGATTGGTTGATGGAGTGAATGAGAAAGAAGTAAATCTAATTCTTATCCTCTGTTGCCTAGCTGCTTATTAGAACCTACAAACTTCAAATGTCAGGGTTAGCCAGGACACAACAATATGCCTTCTGCAGTAGACAGCTGTAGGGTTTGGCTTCAGCAGTTACTTCTCTTTCTGGCAAAAATGTTCTGATTTCCTTTTGGGGCACTACCCCCTTCCCTCTTCTCTTTTCGTATGGTTCAGGCATGGTTTACCCCACCTGTAATATCTGGGGGTACATGACCAAGGTCTGGCCAATTAGCATACTCCATCTCAACATTCTCAGTAACTGGTTCAAGGATAGCATCCCAAGGCAAGCCAGTCAGAGTCAATGAACATCAGCTCTAGAACTTCTGCTGGAACTCTAGAGAAATAGATACACTCCTGCCACTAATGCTGCTAATCTAGAAGAAAGAATGCAAGTCAAGAGAACATTTGCTGTGGCTTAAGGAGAATCTGCATGAAAATAAAACCAACACAGAAGGAAGATTAAGGAAAGCATAGAAAGACTCCTGGCAACATAATTTGCGTACCTAGGTCCAGCCATACTTGAACTCAGATACCCCTGGACTCTTCAGATAAATGACACCTGCACACAACATGCACACAGAATACATGTGAATATACTCATGCTCACTTTCTTTTCTACATTAGCTACTTCACCTTGGCTTTCTCTCCCTTGCAACAAAAATCTTCCTTCTAAATTACCTGTCAAAAATCATTAAAATGATGGCATGAAAAATAGGACATGAAGTTGTAGAGGAGACAAAATTCCTCTACAAATCTCAGGTTTATTGGCTGGGCCCCATAAATGAGATTGACAAAAGACAGATTAACAAGAAAAATATATAAATTTATAATTTATGCATCATACATACACATGGGAACACTCAGTGATGAGTAACTCAAAGGGGTAGTTAGAACCTGGGCTTGTCTAGCATCTTAGCAAAGAACAACAATTTTATAGAGAAGCAGCAAGATAAAGGAAAAGAATTTTGAGCTTCTAGGGGCAGCAAATTGTGGAAAGGAATATACATGGGGAAACTAATGGTATAAGGGCTAGTTACTAAGGTTTATTTGCATATACTTTCCTGCTGCCTTCTCATCTCCAGTGATAAGACTGCATCTTCTTCCTAGTATGGGAAGTGTGGGGGTCACCTTCACAGGGGGAATTTATATTCTATTTTTAAATGAATAGGGGGAGGTCTGAGAGAGCATACCATGTTTGCTTTTCCTTAATTGCTCTCGGCTCCAAATAATCCTTGTGCCAGGGTGGCATATTTTTGGATGGCATACTCTGAACCCCTTCAGGGCAGAGGAGGGAGTATAGGGTTGAGGTCCCCCCCTCAACCACTCAGTATGGAACCAGGAAAATTATGCTACTCACAGCTTCTACTCCTCTCCCTAGAATGTTCAAACAAATCAAATTGTTTATAAGCAACAGCAAAAGCAGCCTTGTAGTGGAAAAGAAATCACTCAAAGACAGATTGAACAATATATCAGCAATGGTTCAGGACAGATAGATAGCCCTGGATGGGGAGATGGGCTGACTGAGTGTATAAAACCATTATTTCAGGACATCTCAAATACTGGCTGGCAGAACCACTTCTACCTTTGCCAGGCTGTTTCCTTGACTTAATGCCTCAGATTGGCATTACTCACTGTTGCCCTCCATCCTAACTGTATGAGTCCCTATTTTTCATGGATGGCCCTGCTATGGGCAGGTAGCTCTGCTCTAGACATACATTTCTGAAGTGAGTAGACCCCACAGGTTTGGGGGTCTGTGGGAAATAATAGACAGCTGGAGGTAGATGGAAGGAATAAAAATCATTATCTTTACAAGGTATATGTCTAAAAATATATATATTTCTAAAAAAAAATTAAAGGAGCAAATTCTTCTGTGAGCTCAGTAGAATCCACCTCCAGAGGGCCAGAATGCCTCCTCCTTTTAATCCATAGACGATGATAATCTTTGCAAGTGGCAGGAATAGATCAAGATGCTGAATCAGTCCCAGAGTTCTAGACAGATATTCCAAAGCCACAAAGGGAGGTAAGCACAGGCTCCCCGCCCACAGTCTTCCAAGGTCCCTGAGGCTCCTGTTCTCCCAGCTCCCTCCCAAATCAACTATGAGGGGATTGCCTCACCTTTTCTATTTTTATTTCTTCAAATCCATTTTTACTTGATATTTCTTAATTTTTACTTGTTTTCCAGGCCATCACTTCAATTTCCAAATGATTTACAATCTTTAAAATTCTCATTTAGAAAGTGGTTGCATCTATTAATCACCTATTATTTGTCTTCACTTTATCTCTGCTTCATGCAGCTTTGAAACAGAGCTGGTGAACTTTGTATTTATTACACTTAAACCTTCCCTAAATGCTTGTAACCTTTTACTAATATCTGAACGTGTCTGACTAGCAGAACTTGAAAAATAATAACCAGTCTTTATAGCATGATATAGATTTACAACATTTCTTGAAGTGAGATCACTCCTCCTCAATCAGAATGGCATAAAAATCCTACGGAAAAATAAAGGGAAAAAAAGAGATGTGTGGAACTCACACCAAATTTACTGAGGTATAACTGTCAGGGGAAGAGACCCAGAAATCTGCAAATCGAACCAACAGGATGTGACGCTGATGTACTCTAAAGTCTTGAGAGGCTTGTGTGTTGAAAAGGGGTTTAAAACAAATCAAATAATGCTCTGGTTGAAGAATCATGCAGTAGGCATGTATCAGTCAGAGTAAAGTTATGTTATAGTGACAACTTTCCTTCACATTTCAGGGACTTGAAACAATACTTTATTATTTGCTGACATTATATGCCCAGCAGGCATTGGTGGTGGTGCAGGTGAAGGTGAAGAGAGAGCTCTGCTCCATATCCTCTCACTGGAATCCATGCAGATGGAGGCTGCACCATCTGGAACATACCTGGTTACAGCAGCATGGGTGTAAGAATGCTGGAGGTCTCCCACTAGCAGTAAAGTGACACACATTACTTTTGCCCATGGCTCATTGGCCAATACTGGTCTCATGGTCCCACCAAATTGCAAAATTGGGTGGAAACTGCAAACCTCCCACAAGCCCAAAAGGTGAAAAGAACTAGATATGAGTGAGCTGAGCAATAGAGATTTCTACCACAGGGAAGCATCTCTATTTTTTCAAAGAATAATAGTGAGGGACAGAGAAGTAAAGCTCTTTGCACAAATCCATACTGAAGTCAATATTGGAAACCCTCCTTTCTTCATTCTTTCCACCTGTGTCAAGGGGGTAGACACCCTTAAAATCTTTCCTATTTCAGTTTTGCTAAAGTGCCAGTTAACACAAAGGACAGATGGTATTCGAATTTAAATGTCATTTTCTTTCTGAAGCAGATTGCCTCGTATATAAACAGATAAAAGAAACCAGTTTGCAGCTGAATTAATCATCAGATAAACATATTACATGGATGTGTCCTGCTAGCTGTACTGTCTAAGGACTTCAATCAAACTGTTACGTGAATACCTACTATGTGCCCAGAGCGATGCTAGGCACTCTCTAATAGCATCAACAGAATTTTGTCTGGCCCACAGATCAGCTCAGCCAGTTCTTCAAAGAGAAATGTTGTTCCTGTTTTTCTTGCTATTCATCTTCCCTTGCCATTTTGATGGGCCCCCTGGTCAGACACCTAACCCCAGACATCCACAGCCACAGAGCACAAACCTGCCATAGTACCATGGAACCATGGAACCACTTCCCAGCTCTCTGTAAGCATCAATCAGAGTTGTCAAATCTTCAACTTGGGAGAGCTGTTTGAGCCTATAATCAGGAATAGATTTGCTCAAGCACAAAAGGAAAGATCCATGTGGTGTATCTGTGCCCCTCTGCCATGTTAGGACCTTTGCCTTATACTTCCTGGGATAGATGGCAGATAACTGCTTTGATGCTTGAACAAATTGCAAGTGGATGAATTCTAGTTACATATGACATAAGGTATATAGATAATTATTGCAGGTTGCAAATGGCAACAAACCAGACTCTGCTTCTTCAAACCTACAAATTTTTTGAAAAGGATAAAAATATTATTCATTTTTCCAGTGATTACCACAAGTAACATAATTCTTAATATATCTTATTACAGCCGTTACCCTTTTCCTTTGAGCACAAACACATCCCTCTTTGTCAGAAGCAGTTTACTGGTTCAATCTGAGCTCACCTCTGCCCACAATACCCCATGCTTTCCATTATTTTATCTAATGGCTTTTGATGGAAAAGTCAACATTAAGCATAACTCTACTAGTGTCAGTAGCATCAAAACTACCAATATAATTTTATTTCATGTAAACCATTCTATCTATAAGCTATATTACTACTAATCTGACAGTTATCTCTCACTGTAAAATTTTAATTTTATTCCATTATGTTTGCCACTGGTATATAATCTCTTGCTATCAACACAACTCTCTGTGACTTGAATTCTAGCACATTTTCACACCAAAGTCAAGTCTTGTTATCATACTGTCCTTGAGAACCCATGGCAAAGAATCGTGCTTAGCCATGGTATTCTCAATATTTCCTCTAAGAATCCCCTCCAGTGAGGCCGGGTGCAGTGGCTCACACCTGTAATCCCAGCACTTTGGGAGGCCAAGGCAGGTGGGTCACCTGACATCAGGAGTTCAAGACCAGCCTGGCCGACATGGTGAAACCATGTCTCTACTAAAAATACAAAAATTAGCCAGGCGTGGTGGTGATCGCCTGTAATCCCAGCCACTTGGGAGGCTGAGGGAGGAGAATCACTTGAACCCGGGATGTGGAGGTTGCAGTTAGCCAAGATCGTGCCACTGCACTCCAGCCTGGGCGACAGAGTGAGATTCCATCTCCAAAACAAAAAATAAAAAGAATCCCCTCCAGTGAAGTCTCTATATGCAAATCTTCATGCCTTCCCACATGGCTCTATAGCAAGGCTCTGGTAAATTTAAAATAAGTGGCATGCAACACATGCAGTCCTTCCTATTACTTCCGAGACCATTTGTCTTATTTCCTTTCTAATATGCTTTGTGCCTGCTTTTCATTGTATTAGAGGCTAGTACTTAAGTGAAAATGGAGGAAAAAATAAACCAAAGCATTTGTATTGATTTATTTTGATCTGGGTCTTCAATCAAACTGCAGGTCCAACACTTGTGTTTTCAAGATGCTTTTTAGCCCCTGTTTTTTCTCCTCTACCCCTGTCCCATGAATCCAGGCTCCTTATTTTCCTGTTCCATTAAAAGGTTATTACCTACTCTGTGTGTTCTTTAAACTGAGGAGTCAGCAAAATCTTTTAACACAGTTTCATTTACCCTTCAATTAAGTTTAGACATGAGATAAACCCTATTATGACTTTGACCTGAAACCACCATGAGACCTGGAAACAAATTTTTAAACTTTTATTTGCTCTAATACACATATTGGTTCCAATTGAAAAGGCTAAACTTAATTTTTTTTCCAAGGAAACAACAATTTTTTAAACCAAGTTTTATTCTTAAAGCCCTAGAAAGTTTTAAATAGAGTTATAAGGGGATAGTGGGGGGAGGGGGAGAATGGAGTTATTACTAAATGTAACCAAAAATAAATGCTTTTCTCACCATTAGAATCATATACACCTCTCCCATACTCTCCACCTCTAATATGGGAAAGGAAGGCTTTGAAGCAAAGTCATATTATGTTAGAACTTGGAACCATTCATACCAGCCTCATTTGCCAAATGAGGAAACTGAGGTTCATAATGGATGGGTGCCTTAACAGTAATAATAACCAAGGAAACAAAAGCCACTATTGTGCACTTACTATTAGCTAAACAAAAACTTTGCCTACAGTATCTCACTAAGCCTCATTAACAGCCATCAGAGATGAGTACTATCACAAGCTCCATTTTAAAGATGGAAAAACTCTGTCTTTTTGCTGGCAAGATGGCCAAATAGGAACAGCTCCAGTCTGCAGTTCCCAGCAAGACTGACTTAGAAGGCAGGTGATTTCTGCATTTCCAACTGAGGTACCCAGTTCATCTCTTTGGGACTGGTTGGACAGTGGGTGCAGCCCACAGAGGGCAAGCTGAAGCAGGGTGGGGCATCGCCTCACCCGGGAAGCACAAGGGGTTGGGGAATTTTCTCCCCTACCCAAGGGAAGCCGTGAGGGAATGAGCCTGAGGAAACGTGCACTCCAGCCCATATACTGCACTTGTCCCACAGTCTTCACAACCCACAGACCAGGAGACCCCCTCTGGTGCCTACTCCACCAGGGCCCAGGGTTTCAAGCACAAAACTGGGTGGCCATCTGGGCACACACCAAACTAGTTGCAGTTTTGTTTGTTTGTTTGTTTTCCATACCCCAGTGTTACCTGGAAGGCCAGCGAGACAGACTGTTCACTCCCCTGGAAAGGGGTGCTGAAGTCAGGGAGCCAAATGGCCTGGCTTGGTGGGTCCCACCACCAAGGAGCCTAGCAAACTAAGGGCCACTGGCTTGAAATTCTCACTACCAGCACAGCAGCAGCCTGAGATTGACCTGGGATGCTCAAGCGCGGTGGGGGGAGGGGCATCCGCCATTGCTGAGGCTTGAGTAGGTGGTTTTACCCTTACAATGTAAACAAAGCCACCTGGAAGTTCGAACTGGGTGGGGCCCACTGCAGCTCACCAAGGCAGACTGCCAGATTCCTCCTCTCTGGGCGGGGCATCTCTGAAAAAAAAGGCTGCAGCCCCAGTCAGGGACTTATAGATAAAAAACCCCAACTCCCTGGGACAGAACACCTGGGGGAAGGGAGAGCTGTAGGCACAGCTTCAGCAGACTTAAACATCCCTGCCTGATGGCTCTGAAGAGAGCAGCGGACTTCCCAGCACAGCATTCAAGCTCTGCTAAGGGTCAGACTGCCTCCTCAAGTGGGTCCCTGATGCCTGTGTATCCTGAGTGGGAGACACCTCCCAGTAGGGGCTGACAGACACATCATACAGAAGAGCTCTGGCTTGCATCTGGCAGGTGCCCCTCTGGGACAAAGCTTCCAGAGGAAAGAACAGGCAGCAATCTTTGCTGTTCTGCAGCCTCCACTGGTGATACCCAGGCAAACAGGGTCTGGAGAGGACCTCCAGCAAACTCTAGCAGACCTGCAGCAGAGGGGCCTGACTGTTAGAAGGAAAACTAACAAACAGAAAGGGATAGCATGTCGACTCAAAGACCCCATCCGAAGGTCACCAACATCAAAGACCAATGGTAGATAAATCCACAAAGATGTGGAGAAACCAGCACAAAAAGGCTGAAAATTCCAAAAACCAGAACACCTCTTCTCCTCCAAAGGATCACAACTCCTCATCAGCAACGGAACAAAACTGCATGGAGAATGAGTTTGACAAATTGACAGAAGTAGGCTTCAGAAGGTGGGTAATAACAAACTCCTCCTAGCTAAAGAAGCATGTTCTAACCCAATGCAAGGAAGCTAAGAACCTCGAAAAAAGGTTAGACGAATTGCTAACTAGAATAACCAGTTTACAGAAGAACATAAATGACCGGCTGGAGCTTAAAAACACAGCACAAGAACTTCATGAAGAATACACAAGTGTCAACAGCTGAATTAATCAAGTGGAAGAAAGGATATCAGAGATTGAAGATCAACTTAATGAAAAAAGTGAGAAGACAAGATTAGAGAAAAAAGAATAAAAAGGAACAAACGAAGACTCTAAGAAATATGGGACTATGTGAAAAGACTAAATCTACATTTGATTGATGTACCTGAAAGTGACGGGAGAATGGAACCAAGCTGGAAAACACTCTGTAGGATATTATCCAGGAGAACTTCCCCAATCTAGCAAGGGAGGCCAACATTCAAATTCAGGAAATACAGAAACCACCACAAAGGTACTCCTCAAGAAGAGTAACCCCAAGACACATAATTGTCAGATTCACCAAGGTTGAAATGAAGGAAAAAATGTTAAGGGCAGCCAGAGAGAAAGGTCGGGTTACCCACAAAGGGAAGCCCATCAGACTAACAGCGGATCTCTCTGCAGAAACCCTAACAAGCCAGAAGAGAGTGGGGGCCAATATTCAACATTCTTAAAGAAAAGAATTTTCAACCCAGAATTTCATATCCAGCCAAACTAAGCTTCATAAGCTAAGGAGAAATAAAATCCTTTACAGACAAGCAAATGCTAAGAGATTTTTGTAACCACCAGGCCTGCCTTACAAGAGCTCCTGAAGGAAACACTAAACATGGAAAGGAACAAACAGTACCAGTCACTGCAAAAACATACCAAATTGTAAAGACCATCAACACTATGAAGAAACTGCATCAACTAAAGAGCAAAATAACCAGCTAGCATCATAATGACAGGGTCACATTCACATATAACAACATTAATCTTAAATGAAAAAGGGCTAAGTGCCCCAGTTAAAAGACACAGACTGGCAAATTGGATAGAGTCAAGACCCATCAGTGTGCTGTATTCAGGAGACCCATCTTGTGTGCAAAGACACACATAGGCTCAAAATAAAGGGATGGAGGAATATTTACCAAGAAAACGGAAAGCAAAGAAAAGCAGGAGTTGCAATCCTAATCTCTGATAAAACAGACTTTAAACCAACAAAGATCAAAAGTGACAAAGAAGGCCATTAAATAATGGTAAAGGGATCAATTCAACAAGAAGAGCTAACTATCCTAAATATATATGCACCCAATACAGGAGCACCCAGATTCATAAACCAAGTTCTTAGAGACCTACAAAGAGATGTAGACTCCCACACAATAATAGTGGGAGATTTTAACAACCCACTGTCAATATTGGACAGATCAACGAGACAGAAAATTAACAAGGATATTCAGGACTTGAATTTCGTTCTGGACCAAGCAGACCTAGTAGACATCTACAGAACTCTCAATCCCAAATCAACAGAATATACTTACTTCTCAGAACCTCATCGCACTAATTCTAAAATTGACACATAATTGGAAGTAAAACGCTTCTCAGCAAATGCAAAAGAACGGAAATCATAACAAACAGTCTCTCAGACCACAGTTCAATCAAATTAGAACCCAGGATTAAGAAGCTTACTCAAAACCGCACAACTACATGGAAACTGAACAACTTGCTCCTGAATGACTTCTGGGTAAATAACGAAATTAAGGCAGAAATAAAGATGTTCTTTGAAACCAATGAGAACAAAGACACAATGTACCACAATCTCTGGGACACATTTAAAGCAGTATTTAAAGGGAAATTTATAGCACTAAATGCCCATAAGAGAAAGCAGGAAAGATCTAAAATTGACACCTTAACACCAGAATTAAAGGAACTAGAGAAGCAACAGCAAACAAATTCAAAAGCTAACAGAAGACAAGAAATAATTAAGATCAGAACAGAACTGAAGGAGATAGAGACACAAAAAACCCTTCAGAAAGTCAATGAATCCAGGAGCTGGTTTTTTGAAAAGATCAACAACATAGATAGACTGCTAGCCAGACTAATAAAGAAGAAAAGAGAGAAGAATCAAATAGAGGCAATAAAAAATGATAAAGGGGCTATCATCACTGATCCCAGAGAAATACAAACTACCATCAGAATACTATAAACACTTTTATGCAAATAAACTAGAAAATCTATAAAAATAGATGAATTCCTGGACATATACACCCTCCCAAGTCTAAACTAGGAAGAAGCTGAATCCCTGAATAGACCAATAACAAGTTCTGAAATTGAGGCAGTAATTAATAGCCTACCAACCAAAAAAAGTCCAGGACCAGACGGATTCACAGCCAAATTCTACCAGAGGTACAAATAGGAGCTGGTACCATTTCTTCTGAAACTATTCCAAACAACAGAAAAAGAGGGACTCCTCCCTAACTCATTTTATGAGGTCAGCAGCATCCTGATACCAAAACCTGGCAGAGACACAACAAAAAAAGAACATTTCAGGCCAATATTTCTGGTGAACATCGATGCAAAAATCCTCAATAAAATACTGGCAAACTGAATCCAGCAGCACATCAAAAAGCTTATCCACGTGATCAAGTGGGCTTCATCCCTGGGAAGCAAGGCTGGTTCAACATACACAAATTAATAGACGTAATCTATCACATAAACAGAACCAATGACAAAAACCACAAGATTATTTCAACAGATGCCAAAAAGGCCTTTGACAAAATTCAACACCCCTTCATGCTAAAAACTCTCAATAAACTAGGTATTAATGGAATGTATCTCAAAATAATAAGAGCTATTTATGATAAACCCACAGCCAATATCATACTGAATGGGCAAAACCTGGAAGCATTCCTTTTGAAACCTGGCACAAGACAAGGATGCCCTCTCTCACCACTCCTATTCAACATAGTATTGGAAGTTCTGGCCAGGGCAGTCAGGCAAGAGGAAGAAATAAAGGGTATTCAAATAGGAAGAGAGGAAGTCAAATTCCCTTTGTTTGCAGATGGTATGATTGCATATTTAGAAAACCCTATCATCTCAGCCCAAAGTCTCCTTAAGCTGAGAAGCAACTTCAGCAAAGTCTCAGGACACAAAATCAATGTGCAAAAATCACAAGCATTCCTGTACACCAATAACAGACAAACAGAGAGCCAAATCATGAGTGAACTCCCATTCACAATTGCTATTAAGAGAATAAAATACCTAGAAATACAACTTAAAAGGGATGTGAAGGACCTCTTCAAGGAGAACTTTAAACCACTGCTCAAGGAAATAAGAGAGAATACAAACAAAGGGAAAAACATCCCATGCTCATGGAGTGAATCAATATCGTGAAAATGGCCATACTGCCCAAGGTAATTTATAGATTCAATGCTATCCCCATCAAGCTACCATTGATGTTCTTCACAGAATTGAAAAAAACTACTTGAAAGTTCATATGGAACCAAAAAAGAGCCTGCATAGCCAAAAGCATTCTAAGCAAAAAGAACAAAGCTGGAGGCATCATGCTACCTGACTTCAAACTATACTACAAGGCTACAGTAACCAAAACAGTATGGTACTGGTACCAAAACAAATATCTAGACCAATGGAAAAGAACAGAGGCCTCAGAAATAACACCACACATCTACAACCATCTGAACTTTGACAAACCTGACAAAAACAAGCAATGGGGAAAGGATTCCCTATTTAATAAATGGTGTTGGGAAAACTGGCTAGCCATATGCAGAAAACTGAAACTGGACCCCTTCATTACACCTTATACAAAAATCAACTCAAGGTGGATTAAAGACTTAAACATAAGACCTAAAACCATAAAAACCCTAGAAGAAAACCTAGGCAACACCATTCAGGACATAGGCATGGGCAAAGACTTCATATCTAAAACACCAAAAGCATGGCAACAAAAGCCAAAATTGACAAGTGGGATCTAATTAAACTAAAGAGCTTCTGCACAGCAAAATATCATGAGCATTAACAGGCAACCTACAGAATGGGAGAAAATTTTTGCAATCTATTCTTCTGACAAAGGGCTAATATGCAGAATCTACAAAGAACTTAAACAAAATTTACAAGATAGAAACAAACAACCCTATCAAAAAGTGGGTGAAGGATATGAACAGACACTTCTCAAAAGAAGACATTTATGCAGCCAACAGACACATGAAAAAATGCTCACCATCACTGGTCATTAGAGAAATGCAAATCAAAACCACAATGAGATACCATCTCACTCCAGTTAGAATGACAATCATTAAAAAGTCAGGAAACAACAGGTGCTGGAGAGGATGTGGAGAAATAGGAACACTTTTACACTGTTGGTGGGAGTGTAAATTAGTTCAACCATTGTGGAAGACAGTGTGGCGATTCCTCAAGGATCCAGAACTAGAAATAATATTTGACCCAGCAATCCCATTACTGGGTATATACCCAAAGGATTGTAAATCATTCTACTATGAAGACACATGCACGCGTATGTAATTGCAGCACTATTCACAATAGCAAAGACTTGGAACCAACCCATATGTCCATCATTGATAGACTGGATAAAGAAAATGTGGCACATATACACCATGGAAGACTATGCAGCCATTAAAAAGGATGAGTTCATGTCTTTTGCAGGAACATGGATGAAGCTGGAAACCATCATTCTCAGCAAACTAACACAAGAACAGAAAACCAAACCTGCACGTTCTCACTCATAAGGGGGAGTTGAACAATGAGAACACATGGGCACAGGGAGGGGAACATCACACACCAGGGCCTGTTGGGGGGTTGGGGGCTGGGGGAGGGATAGCATTAGGAGAAATAACCAATGTAGGTGACGGGTTGATGGGTGCAGCAAACCACCATGGCACGTGTATACCTATGTAACAAAACTGCACGTTCTGCACATGTACCCCAGAACTTAAAGTATAATAAAAAATTAAATTAAATTAAATTAAAATAAAATAAAGATGGAAAAACTGAGGCATAAGGAGGTTAACTAACTTGCCAAGGTCACACAGCTAGTATGTAATTGGCAGAACCAAGGCTCTAATTCTAGACTATGGCTTCCAATCTGTGACTCTGCCTGCCAGTTTCCCCAAACTATCAGATCACAGCACTCTTTCTTTCTTCGTTAGAAATTAGGTGAAGTAATATGATTCAAGTCTTCATCACAGGAAGCTGTAAGGTCACAAGTATTTTCATACTAATACTGAGACGTGATTTGCTTTTTGTAGTCACTTTTTTTTTTACAAGTATACAGTGGAGCTTTCCAGAGTCAGTGTGATATCTGAGATCACAACAAACTGAATGCAGAAACTAATCTGAGAATCCAGCTGTCTATCAAGCCAGACATTAAAGAGATTTGCAAAAAAAAAGTAAAACAACGCCACTCTTCCAATTTTTTTGTTTTGAAAAACGTAATATTTTCATTAAGACTGTGTTATTTGTGTTAATAAGTAGTGAGTTTACTGATATTATTCTTAAATGAATATTTTAATTTTTAAACATGGTAAATATCAGTAAAGACAACATTCATAAACAAAAGCTCTTTGAAGTCCTCAATAAGAGTGTAAATGGGTCTTGTGAATAAAATGTTTGAGAACCACTGTTTTAGAATATCTGGTACTAATGTTAGCTCCTCTGGAATCTGGGATCTCCCTCCCTTCGGCACCAGCTTAGACCAATAAGACACCAGGGCTTCAAAACTCTGGTGTCAAAGAATAAGGAAGGGACAATGAGTATGAAGAAATTCAGATGAGTGTGAGTAGTGCTGCAACCTTCACCAGACACACACACTGGTAGGTCATTTCACGTGTGTGTGTGTGTGTGTGTGTGTGTGTGTGTGTGTCCTCTGGAACTCCTCAGAACCTCCAGCCTCTAGTTAGTAAGAATCTCAAGAGCAAAGGATCCATGTTTTCATGGATCTTTGGTCATTCTCTAGTATTACTAATTAATAAACACTCCTTATACAGTTGGTTCTTGAAGATGCTTAGTGAATTCACCATCCCAGTATCAACATAGAGTACCTAGCCTAATTTATCTTCCCCCATCCCTCACCTCTACACCCCCAAAACACATTCATATATAACTTTCTTCAAGTGAAATGTCCTGCCTGTCCCACTACTTCTGATTTTCAGAAAAGAAAAGAGGTGTGTTTGTAGGTCAGAACACTCCTCTTTCCCCTGGTTACTGAGCTCTATATTGTCAATGGCAGGAATTGAGTGCCCAGATACAGGCCAAACTAAATACTAAATAGTGTATCTGCACTAAATAGTGTATCTGTACTAAATCTGTACTAAAATAGTGTATCTGCAGTTTCTTTCTACAACTTAAAGAGAAGACTCAAAATTAGTCAACCAGTTCCTACAAGAATTCTATTGGGCTTCTTACATCTTTATGCCTGCTTGGAGAGTTCTGTTTACATACATTAGCATTTCGGAGATAAAATTACCAATTCTGTACCTCTTCCTTAATTATTTCCCTAGTCACTTTTACAGTGGACCCTTTTACCTTTTGTCAATGTGGACAGGTATCCGCAGAAGGTGAATAATGGCAGGACTGTAACCCACTAATGAATAAGCACCCACAAAAAGGGAATGACTCCAATGCCTGTCATGAGAGGGAGACCAACAAAAAAGCGAGAATTAAGATTGCATCAACCTTGAAAAGCAACTCTGCTGAGTGATGGCCATAATTCCTGGAAACTTTGCAAAAGCAGCACTGATAAATCTTTGATTGCATTTTCTCCTTAGTGGATTTTTGTGTATTTCTGCCAATTTTTCACTAGCACTGCTACATATTTCTTGATTAGAACAGCACCAGACACTGTAATATCACTTTAAGTTCCACTCAATGCTCCCTCCTTGGCCTTAATTCAATGGAAGAATGATTTACTTGTACACAAAGCATGTGCTCCTGTATATCAATGCCACCGTCAGCCGCTCCCAGAAAGATTTAGTAGACACTATATATTAGAATAGCAATTATCACATAATGTCAGAACATTAAGCATTTTACATTTTCCAAATGATACATGAATAATTTGAGCTCTATGTGTACACAGCCATAATAAATCAAACATTTAATTTTCAAGCACTTTTGAGAGCAATAAAGGCATCCCTTCTTTAAAACAGCCCATGGATTTTGCCTCAGTGCCTTGATTTATCCCTTCATGGATACACTACTAACCCGATCCACAAACACTTGTGCAAGCATCTGAAATTCTTAATAAATTACACTTATCTTAAATCACCCCAGAATCAGAAAGCATCAAACATTATTAAAGGATTCAAATTATTTATGAACACAAGAAAAATGACAAAAAAGAGAGGTGCTGGAATGGTTGTGTAGTCAACTGCATAAAACTGGATAATGACAATTGATAATGAGTTTCATTTCATGGACATAGTTCAAGTTAAAATGTAATTTAAACAAAATGAAAACAAACAAAACACAATCCTTAATACTGCCAACTTTAAGAAATGGATAATTCAATTTGTACTTATTTTTTAATGTTTTATGTATTTTTCTTAATTGCTTTGGCAGGTGCGTTTTTACATACTCCTTAGCAGATTCTGCAAATCTGTACTTTTTAACACAGAGACAAGCCATGTAGGTGAGAGTTTTAAATTTTAACCACTTATTTTGATATTCAGTAGAGAAGCATTCCAGATGACTGGGCTTCCCATTAGCATTGAGGCTACTGTGGTCTTTAACCCTTCTCCAAATGACACACATGTCTGGACAAGAACCATTACCAAGAAAGAAGAAAGAAAGATTTGTTCTAATGGATTCTATCTTGCAACCAAATGTAATACATTAATCAATACATTTGTTTGATCAAAAAGAAAGTAAAAGATATCACAAAAATCCCCATTATCCAGATTCTGACACCTGAATAAATAAATTATTTTACCCAAACTCACAACCAGGTGAGCAAAGCAAGGACAAGAATCAGGCAGGACTTACCTGTTCAGTCCATTCCTTTGCGTATGTGACAGTCTAGGAGAAATTGAAAAGGCTAGGCCATGGAAGTTCTTCAATGCAGCAAAGTAATGTTATGGAGAAATTAAACTCTGATAAAATGAAACGTTTGGGTTGCTTGGGGGGAAAGATGAAAACCAGTCATGTAGTTTAGCAGAGTAATTCCTACTTTACCATAAAATGCTGAAGCATAAACAATCACAGATATTGTCCCAAAAAAAAAAATCTTTAAATACACTGTAAAGATATTTTTTTCTTAAACCTTCAAGGTCATATAGAGACAATGTCACAAACATCAAAGCAAAAATCATCTCACATCCATTTCGCTACTCCAAATTTAAACAACTTTATTTAAGTTCAATCTTGATAACCTAGGTATGTGTTCAAGACAAACTACTTTCAAAATTGACTTGAACGAATAAAACAAGTCATTTCAGTAACCCTAGGAACAACCAGAATTACCTCAACTTGAGGAGAAAATTACTTCGAGGAATAGTGTTTCCAAATATCAGTTTAAAGTGTTTCAGCTGACACAGAATGTCATCTCCTAAACTAACAACCATGGAGTAAACATTTTATAACTGTGTCCCATCCACCATCAGCTCATCAATTAATGACAGCTCAGGAGGAAAACATATCCAGCCCTATAAGCAATCAATCCCTTTGCCCTGACCATTCAGGAAGGGCTTGGACCCCACATCTGCTATCCCTGATGGCCAAATCCACTCAAAACTCTGACAAACATGTATTGCTTGCTGTGAGACAGGAACACACACTAAGTACATGATGCCTTGCAAAATGTTATGTGAAACACAAAGAAACATAACATATAATCTCTTGTCTCAAGGAGTTTAAAATACAAACAGGAAAAGCAAGAAAAATGTGAGAAGATAGTAATAAAAATATAAATAACAGCTCAGGGCATCTACAGGACATGTCGCAAAGCCATACACAATTATTAAATCAGTGGTATGGATGGTGCCATGGTTTGAATATGGCCCCCAAAGTTGATTTGTGGGAGACTTAATCCCCAGTGCAACAGTGTTGGGAGATGAGGCCTAATAAGAGGTGATTAGGTCATGAGGACTCAGCCCTTATGAATAGATTAATGTCATTTTAGGAGTTAGTTATTGCAGGCATGGGTAACTTTACCCATTGTGTTTAGGTTTGCTATAAAAGTAAATTTGAACCCCTCTTGCTTTCTCACTCTCACCCCCTCTTGCCCTTTTGCTTTCCACCATGGGATGATGCAGCACAAAGGCCCTTGCCAGATGCTGGTGCCATGCTCTTGGACTTCCCAGCCTCCAGAACTGTAAGCCAAGTAAATTTCTGTTTATTACAAATTACCCAGTCAGTGGAATTCTATTAGAGCAGCACAAAATGGACTAAGACAGACAGTGTACCAGTCAGGGTCCAGTCAGGAACACAGACACCACACTAGGTATTTCAACAGAGAAAATGTAACATAGGGAATTGGTGTTGGAGGGTGAAAACAAAAAGAGAATGCTGATATAACACAGAGACAGAACAAGGAGCAGCTGCCATCCCTCATTAATCTGAAAGATATTGTGGAGGAGGATTATTATAAGACGAATCTTAAAGGATGATTTAGAAAGGTAAAAAGAAATGGTAAAGGTAGGTACAGAAAGGGAACAACAAAACATTTGGGCAATATAAGTAAACCATTTGGCTAAAGCCAGTTTTCATATATGGTAAAAATAGGTATTATATTTTTTCCTAAAATTTCAACTATGAATTTATCTTTGGATGCCATATCATCGAATCAATAATAATTATTTAGTGCATATTAGGATGATATTGGCCTTTACAGACTACAAGTTAGAAAAGAAGGTATAAGGAGATGTTTATTATCTCAATGGCAGAAAAGATAGGCTGATATGAGACAAACACCACCCCAAATGGCATATATTTGGTTAGTTGCATTTTCCAAAGAATATTTCCCACCCCACAAGCTCTTATGCAATGCAGGTTGACACATCTTCATCAAGAGGTAGAATCTATTTCTCCATCCCCTTGAATCTGGTTGGGCCAAGATTCTGAACCTGCTTTCTCATCAACAGAATATAGCAGAAGTGATGTTGCACCATTTTCAGGCATGTTCCTTAGCTGGCTTGATAGTTTCTGCTTCCTACCTCTTGGAAGTCAGTCACCATTTAAGAACAGTGACCACCATGAAACCATGTAACCACCATTTTGTGACACCTAAGCAACATTGGAGAGACCCTAGAGGGTAAGATAACATGTGGAAAGCAAGTACTGAGAACCAGACATACGGATGATGAAGCTGTCCTGGAAGCACAGTCATGCGTCACATAACAACAGGGACATTCTGAAAAATGTGTTGTTAGGCAATTTTGTTGTTGTAGCAACACCATAGAGTGTACACCCACAGACCTAGATGGTATGTGGTATAGCCTATTGCTCCTAGGCAACAAACTTGTATAGTATGTTACTGTATTGAGTTTGTAGGTAATTGTAACACAATGATAAATGTTTGTGTACCAAAACATATGAAAGTATGGTAAAAATATAGTATAAAAGGATTAAAAATGGAACAATTGTATAGAGCACTTACCATGGAGCTTTCAGGACTGCAAGTGCTCTGGGTAAGTGAGTGGTGAGCAAATGTGATGATCTAGGACATTACTGTACACTACTGTAGATCTTATAAACACTGTACACTTAGGCTACACTACATTTATTTTTTAAAATATTTTTCTCAGTAGTAAGTTAACTTTAGCTTCCCAGAAGTCCATCACTGTCTATGTGGTCTGTTATTGACTGAAACACTGTTATGCAGCAGATGACTGGAGGCCTGTCCCCAGCGATGCCACATTCATTCAGAGATGAATTGCCCAGTCCAGTCCTTTTACAATTCCTGACCTGCAAAATCATGAGTGAAATAAAATGGATGTTTTAAGATCCTAAATTTGGTGGTTGTTCTGTTTCACAGCAATAAAAAACTAAACAATGACCAAGTGCTAAATGGTAGAAATGGTGATGATTTCTTATATCTGCGAATTTGTAACAGAAAAAAAAGATAAGATTCTCCCTTTTAAAAACCAGATTTTCCAAAACAAAATATGATATCCGGAGTTGCAATGGTTTACAAAGAAGTAGTCAGCTTAAATGCTGAAGTAATATAACTCTAAGTTCAAAGTGATAGAAAAGGCTGATGGAAAAGGCTTTCAGGAGAACTCTGGTTTTCTTCCCAGTTCAGTTTGATCATAAAGTTTTGGAAACAGCAAGGAAGCCAAGGAGAGCACAGCAGGAATCTCATGGTCAAAAATGGGCAAGATGAAGGCCATGCTTTCCCTTTCTTCAAACAGTCTAAGCAAAGTGGGCAGACCCTTTCTGCCATTTGCACCTATTACAGAGAGAAATTGTGCTCATGGCATCCCCTTGGAAGGGCTTTGACAGCAAGCTGGCCTGAACACCTGGAACAGGCAACAAACCCCAGAGGAAGCCAACTCCAAGAAAAGGTTGAGCAGAAACTGGAAAAATATCTTCTATTCAAGTCTCAGAAAACCACAAGGTTATATTGACTGCAACTTGATAATGATTAAAGATTAATAAGTTGCCAATTATATCTAGGTGTTCCTTAAATCTGCTCCAAATTGTAGCTCATTAGGAGGCAGCATGCATGGTGATTAAGACCAGAGTTCTAGAGCCAAGTGGCCTAGATTTGAATTCCAGGTCTGCAACTTGCTACCTTGGGACTTTGGGCACGTTAACTATCCTAAGCTCTAGAGCTTTGCTGGCCAATACGGCAGCCTACTAGTAGCCATGTGACTATAGAGCACTAGAAATGCAGCTACTCTGAATTGAGACGTGCTGGAATTGTGAAATACGCAGTTTCAAAGGCTTACTACAAAAAAAGAATGTAAAATATTAAATTTTTATGTTGATTACATGTTCAAATAATAATAGTTTAGATTTAAATAAGGTATACTATAAACATTTTACCTGTTTCATTTTACTTTTTAATGTGTATACCATAAAATTTGAAATTTCATACTCACCTCACATTATATTTCTATGGGGCAGCAATACTTTAGAGGGATAATAATAAACGCAGCTCTTAGGGTTGCTGTAAAGACTATGTGAAATTATCCAATTAAACACCTAGAACAATGCTTGACATGTAAGAAGTATTCAGTTATTTCCCCTCATCCAGCCAACAAACGTAATTACTATGTGTTGGGCACTCCTCTAGATGCTTGGGCTATAGCATTGAGAATAGACCAAAAAAAATAGGTAAAACAACACACAAAAATAGCCCCTCTCAATAGCAGTGGTAATTATCTATTTAAATCCAATGATTATTTATGTAAGCTAATGTGTCAGTTCAGTATTTCTAGTAAAAGTAATTCTAACATCTTTTAGTCTTGAGTATTATTTAATAGAAGTGAATGCTACTATCTTTTGCTCTTAACCTTCCCCGTGGAGAGCCCAGCTGTTGGAAACATTAGGTCATAAGGAGGTATATTCACCTGGGGACAGCAGGCGGCCCAAATGCAATAAAGACTCTAAGCACTGACCTTGCAAAGCTCAAACTAGGAAAAGATGACAAAATCCAGTAAGAGTCCAGAAAAAGGAAGATCAAAGGGGGCAAAGTGGTGGAAAAAGACATCAAGAAAGAGATGGGACATAAGGTTAGGTCCTGCAGGACACCAAGGGATAAAATGGCAACAAGAGGGAGCTGCATCCCAGGCATTCTATGATTTATAACAGAATAGCATTCAGGATGGGCTCAGTTTTTCCACGTTAATACCTCTGCATCACATGCATGCGTGTCTGGGAAATTGATTTGCCTTGTCAGGTGCTGGCTGGCACCTGGAAAGCAGCCCACAGCACGACTGGGAAGACAAATACCCAGGCCTTACAAAGGCAAATCATGCCAGCACAGAGTCATCTGCCTTATTAACTTGGACCTCTCCAACTTGCTTGAGTCTCTGCTATACTGGTCTCCCCAGGCCCCTCAGGGCCCTTCCTCTTTGTTTCCCACACTACAGCCAGCGTAACAGAAAACTCATCATGTAACCCCTCTAATCACAATCTTTTAATCACTTTCTATTGCTCTTAGAATAAAGATCAAGATCCCTCAGGAGGCTTACAGGGCAGTTGCCCACATCATACATTGCACTTTCTCTCTTGGTGTCTATACTCCAACAGCCCTGCGCTGCAACTGTCCTCCAGCTAAGGACATTGTCTCCTGCTCTTCCCTCTGGCACCTCACTTCTCAATCCCTAACAGGCACTCCTTTTGCCTCTCAGCTTAATTATTATTTCCCCAGAAAAGCAATTCCCTTCAGCATGCATAAGCATGGCACCATGTCCACTCCCCCACAGCTTCTATCTCAGTGTAATTTACATTCATTGGTGGGAGTATGTGAACAATGTCACTTCCCCTCTACATTGCAGGCTCTGAGGGCAGAAAGAAACCTTGTTCTTTTCACTCACCATTAAATCACCAGCATATGGCACTGGGACCGGCACATAGCAGGTACTCAGTAATTATGTGTTCATTATTCCCATGAACACTGTGTGATGATTGTGTGTGTGTGTGTGTGCGTGCGCGCGTGTGTGTGCATATACAGGGAGAGACAGAGAGAGAGAGCACTTACAGCATGGCATACAGTAAGTGGTATATAAGTGATTGTTTTTATAATACCAGCCTCATACTATATGAAATCTGAGCTTTGCACACTGTGCCTCCACGTGAAGTCCCAGGATGTCCATTTCACTGTCATTAATGCTTCAGGTAAGGGAGGGTCAATATCAAGTACCAAGATCATAATTGGCAGAAATCAAGTAATTCTATATATTAAGATTTAGCACAAAACATTCTTTAATGTTAAATACCAGTGATTACTTTTATATTATAATTGTGATATAATAGGAGAATAATTAAAGGACTTCAGAACAATAGAGGTAAGAAAACAGAGGCTCAGAGATGTTGTGTGTAATCATAATAATTAGAATTGTCAGTTGGGAGCTGAATGCAAGCTAAATGTATGTACTATTTCATTTACTCCTATTAGCAAGTAGTCATTACAACCTCTTTTTAGATGAGGCTTAAGAAAATTAAATATTAAAAATAAAAGAACAATAGACATTTTTACAAGGAAGATATACAAACGGACAATAAGCACATGAAAAGATGTCCAATCTCATTAGTCATTAGGGAAATTCAAATCAAAACCACAAATGACAGATCACTTTCTATCCACTTTAATGCTATAATAAAATATTTTAAAAAACAAAAATGGAAAATAATAAATGTTGGGAAGGATGTGGAGAATTAGAATTCTCACACATTGCTGATGGAAATGTAAAATTGTGCAGCTATTCTGGGAAACAGTCTGGCAGTTCCTCAAATAATTGAACAGAGAACTGCCATGTGACCCATCAATTCTACACCTAGGTATACACCTAAGAGATATAAAACCATATTTCCACAAAAAAAAATTGTTTATAAATGTTTATGGCAACATTATTCATAATAGCCAAAAGGTAGAAACAACCCAAATGTCCATCAACTGATAAATGTTTAAACAAAATGCAGTATATCCATGCAATGGAATATTATGCCACTATCAAAAGGAATGAAGATTTGGTGCATGCTACAACACGCATAAACCTTGAAAACATTGTGCAAAGTAAAAGGAGCAAAACGCAAAGACCACATACTATATGATTACATTCATATAAAATATCCAGAACAGGGAAACTACAGAGACAGAAAATAGTTTCACAGTTGCTTAGGGCTAGGGAAGAGATGAAGAGATAGGGAGATGATACTGGGTTTCCATTTGAAGTGATGAAAACATTCTAAAACTTAAGGTGATGGTTGCACATATCTGTAACTATATGAAAAACTAGATAATTGTACACTTTAAATGTGTAGATTATATGGTATGTAAATTATATCTCATGGAAGCTGTTAAGAAAAAAATTTAAGTAGTAAAACAGTAAAGTCTACAATGCCACATCACTTGATAAGTGTTTTTATTTTGTTCTAACAATAAAGTCATCTTATTCAATCTTCACACCAGCTGCATTATTGACTGTGATTTCAGAGGCACTGAAGTACCTTGAGAACAAATTCAAACTATTGTTTCCAAACATTTTATGCCTTGATAGGTTCTGTGTTTTAATTTCTTTCCATTTTGTTTTCTCTATATAGTCCTGGATTGTTACAGTAATTAATAAAATGAGTTTGTTGAAAATGATTTTCCAAATGGATTCCAACCTGGGGACAGAAAGTGCTTACATAGAAGCCATTATCTTCAGGGTTCCTTCGGAAGGCTCATAAATAATGCCTGCTGTCTGCCAAGCTCTGGGCTGCATATTGGGGATACAGATGAGTAAGAAAAGATTTCTGGTGATAAGGATCAGTCATCAAAGCTCCCTTCTCTAGCCAAAGGCAGATATTTGGGATTAACTTTCCCATCTGGGTGCCAGAATGCTACTACCCCAGCAGGCAATGGAGTATTTGCTCAGTGGCCTATGGTTAATGGATGTTTTTGCAGTTATCTCTGATGAGGTGACAAGGAACCCTATCTACAGACTCTCCTGAGAGTTTCTTTAATAGGAGATGTTGCTGTCTGCCTGAGATGGTTACATGAAGTTCTAGCAAGAGGAAGAGTTAAATGACCTTGAATTCTTTTTAAATTCCAGTTGCAGAATCTGCATCTCAACTTTTCTGAAGGCTCAGGAAGGAAATTAAGATTCCACATGTCCATTTATTTTATAATCCCTCAACTCAAGCCTAATTATTTCTTATAATATAGCTGCTTTTCATCACTTTTGCTAAGATCAAGCATAGCATTGGCTTTCCTTGGATTAATAGCCCATGGGGCCTCTGAGGAAAATAAATTTATTAAACAGAATTCGGAATTTCACCCCATGTTTATTACACATCATATGCCCAATGTGCTGATAGAATTAAGATGCAAAGTAAGAGGAATCCCTTCTCTCACAGGGCTCATCTTCTACCCCATGAGTTGGGTTGGCTCTGGAGTAGGCCCCAGAATGGTCTCTCACCCACTGGGGAGGAATGAACTTGCCCCCTAAGGTACCCCAAGTGGAGCCAGATATACAAATTTGGCTTCTCCTGCTACAATGGAAGGTGTGGAGTAAAGAATTTAACCTTATCCAAAAAGAGGTCTGGCCTTTGTCCTCAGTTTCTGGGATATAGTCTCTAAGCCCTTAGAAGACCATGTCTGATGAGAGTGTCTTTTTTCTCCTTGGCCTTAGTTCACACTGGATAGCCTAGCAATGTGTTGTGGGGAGGAGGCTGGCCACAGCAGGTAGTAACAATATGATTTAGGATGGGGGCTTGGTGTTAGTTATTATCAGTCAACCTCCAGAAAGGCTGGAGATTGGAGACTGAGATCAGCCTCTCTGAGCAGTCAACCATGTATTGATGACTGAATCAATCATTATAGCATGGAGACCCAATAAAAACCCCAAACACTGAGGTTCAGGTGAGCTTCCCTACTCCTGGTATATAGTCACACATTGATACCAGAAGAGTATTACCCACTGACTCTATGGGGAAAGGATGAGTAGATACACCAAAAGTCACGTTTGGGACTCCTGGACTTTGCCCTATCCATCTCTTCCCTTGGTTCATCCTAATCTGTAACCATTCTCTATAATAACCATAAACATGAGTATGGATTCAGTGAGTTCTGTGAGTTCCTCTAGAAAATTATCAAACACGAGACTGGTTTTGGAACTCCCTCTACTTCCAGAAGTGAGGGTGTTCTTATGTGGCTGTATTCCATCTAACTTTGCAGTTGGCTAACTTACGTAGAAGGTCAGGGCATGGTTAGAGCTATCAATTGATTTGAATTAGGTAGACCCGACCAAGTCCTACCTTCCCTAACACTGTGTCCCCATTTTCTCTCCCTTCTCCTATCCTCCTTCTTAGTTACTCCATATTTTTTCCTTACTTCCAACTTTACAGCCATCTTTCTCCTCCCCACCTACTAAAATCTACTCTGAAAGACAATCTGTTTATATGAAGGTGTACAAATTGATACTAGCTTGAGGAATATGGATGAGTCAAGTGGTCAGACCAGGTGGTATAAATGATGGTTACCTCATCCTCAGGGCTTTTCGGGTTTAATTGCATTAAATAGCCTCAAACTGCATGGGTTAGCATTGTGCTTTGCCAGTTACTGGCTGTGTGATCTTGAGCAAATTAGTTAACTTATCTAAGACTCAGTTTCCCAATTTTAAAATAGAGAACTGACAGCAGTATCTACCTCCTAGGGTTGCTATTAGAACTAAGTAATTTAATACCTTTAAATACTTAAAAATAGTGCCTGACACATTAAGTACTTGATGAACATTACCTATTACTACCATTTTTAACCAGAAGGTTATTCTTAAGTTTTCTCATAATATTATTTACAGAATTATTGAATCAGAATCACCTGGCATCTCAACCCACTGGTCAATTTTGGCATTTCTAAAAATCAAATAATAAAACCACCCGCTATAAACTTTACAAAAGTAATCAGAGAAGAAACGAGGGGACGAAACAAAAATAAACCAAGCTTGCAGCATATTCAGCATTAATCATTAAGTCAGGTTCCTGCCTGTGCCCTCATAGTTGTTTGATGCCTATTGTTCTAGAATCATGCATACCCTGTTACTATAGTTCTCCTTAATTGTTCTATTGATAACAAGTTGAACATTATGAAACATTAAGTTTTCCCTTGGAAATATTCCTTCAGGTCCTGCATACCAATAAAACTACTGACTCAGCTGGGAGAAAGAACCCCACTGACTTGCCTTCTGATCTGAAGGACTCTACTGATGCCAGCTGGTCTGAAGGGCCCACAAGGAGCTGACTCAAAGAATGCAGTTTCCACATCCCGATGATTTATCCCTTATCAATCAACAACCCCAATTTTCCATCCCCTCAGCCTCCATGATTCCCTAAAAAAATCTCAGCCCAGAACTCATGGGGGAAATAGATTTGAGAGTCTCCTCCCATCTCCTCGATCAGTGCCCTGCGATCATTAAACTCTTTCTCTGTTACAAACCCTGCAGTCTCAGTGTAATAAGTCTGTTACTGCAGAGCGCGCATATGAACCTCTTGCTCCTATAACAATAACAGGTCATTATATGTCTTATTATATGATGCAATAAGTAGATAACTCCACGTATTTAGAAAATCCATGTCAAATTTTTTACAATTGAAACAATCCTCTCAAGTCTCTTTGTCTAATTCTCATTTATAGGTACTATAGGGGTTAGAAGAACAAATTCTACACCAAAGGATGGAATCAGCCAAATCCAGAATGTGAAACATTCATAGCAACTTTCTACTCAAAATTTGGTCCTCTGCCTCCCCAACCCCCGAAGCTTTAGCATCAGCTGAAAGCTTGTTAGAAATGTAGAATCTCAGGCCCTATCCCAAATCTACTCAGTCAGAATCTACATTTAAACAACTTCCACAGGCAACTCATACGCACTTTAAAGTTGGAAAAGGTCTGGTCTCTCTACATTTCAATGCCATAAAGAAAATTATAGAATACAGAGATTTAAGAGGCACAGCATTAAAGTGCAACGTATGGCCCTTGGGTGGGTAGATGTAAACAAACCAGCCAAAGAAAGATGTTTTTGAAATAATCAAGGAAATTTGAATATAACTGAATATTAATTGATATTACAGAATTATTTATTTCATTCGATGTGACATGCCATAGTGATTATGTAAAAACAAGAAGGGCTGTTAGAGAAACATATTTAAATATTTACTCATGAAATAACCTGTGCCTGGATTCACTTTAAAATATATAAGGAAAAAAATTTAATTGGAAAATAAATGAAACAAAAAGATACTGATAATTGCTGAAACTGGGTGATGGGTATATGGAAGTTTATTACTTAATTTTGGTTTTGTGGCTACTTGAAAATTTCTGTATAAAAATAAAGTTGAATAAGCAATTAACAAATAATAATAAACATTTCATTAAAAATAATCACCAGAAATGTCGCCTAAAAATCAGATTTCCAGGCTTCCCATTCAAAACTCATGAATCCAAATCTCAACTTATCCAAATCTCTTATATGCCTGGGCATATAAGATTCTAAGATGGTAGAATTCCGAATGAGGATTACGCCTGTAATGACACCCCCTGAGCAATATCCTACAACGCTTAGGAAAAAAACTGAATGTAGTCTATGAACTTCGATTTCCCAGTACCACAAAACCATTATCAAATCTACATAAATTATGAGACAGGTCTGTGTTAGTCAGTTTGAAGAATGTTTTTCTTGAAGTTGAGAAACAGGAAAGGAGAGGAAGGGAGGAAGGGAGGAGGGGAGGAGAGGAAAAGGAAATGGAAAAAGAAAAGGAAATGGCAACAATTCTGTTTACTTCTAGGCTTCTTATCCTACCACCTTCAATTACAGCAATGACTCTGACAACCCAACTGTCTCCACCCTGTCACTGACAACACCTGGTCCCCCAGCCACTGAGAGAAGAAATGGACAGAAGGAGAGGGAAAGTTCTGAAAAAATTCTACTGGGGAAAGTATAGGAATTACTAAAATGGAAGCAGATGGATTTTCCCTTAAAAATACAGGATCCAGAGGCATCTCTCCCCTCACCCAGATTCAATCATCCTGGTAAACTTTCTAAATGTAATGTCAAGCAGAATTCTAAATGAAATCCCAAGTAATGCCCACTGCTTTTAATTAGATGTAATGTCCTTTTTGAAGTCACAATTACAGACACTTACCATTCTCAAAATGCCCTCAGGTAACTCCCAGCATCTTTGCCCTTCAAGTAAGTAGCTGATTTTCAACTCTCACATACATAATAACTCATCCAGGCCATGGCTGGCTGTACCCATCAGTGGAGGAGATTTACAGAATCTTCACCACAGTAAATACACCAGGTCAGCCTGAGAGGCTCCAGGGAGGTTTAAAGATGAAAATTGTGTAGATAAAGTGAGACCTGAAAGGACAAATATTCCCCCAGGTGATATCTGAAAAGGGTAAAACTTGAATGTTTATATGTCTCTCCTGGTAAATTTTAACCTTTTTCGTTTACTTCTAAATGGATTACTTAAGTCTTAAGAACTATTTTTGGATTTAAATTTATTATTTTGACCAGCATAACATGACAAGTGATAATTATTTAATTCTTTTTTAAAATGAGGCTTTTATTACTTGACAGCAAGAAGCAAACAAAGGAAAAAAGTGAAACCAACTCCTTGTTTCTGTTTTCCTGGAAAGTGAGTGGATGGGTATGAGACGGCTGTGAGTGGATGCCAAGAGCTCTTCACTCTGGGAGTGGCAGGCCTGTCACCTGTGTCCATCAATCCATTTTCATTCATCACTGGAGCCAAAGCCAAGATAAGAAATGCTGATTAGACCTTGCTTCTTCCTCTAAGGCGTCTATGAATCTGAAGACTCCATCTTACTCAACTATAATTTATCTTCCTTTCTTTTAGCTCTCTGTTGATATATAAGTATTGATTACCTAGACAGGCTGGGAGGAATAGGAGGAGGAGGAATAGGAAAAGGAATGCTAAACCTATGGATCACTTACTAAATGATAGCTTCTCACTGGCTTCCTGGGGTGGGCCCAAGTTGGCAGGATAATCCCATATTTACTGTGAGGCTGCAGAATGCTATTAATGTCTAGACTCATTTAGAGAGAGGACAGGAAGAGGTGACTCTGAGTTTTAGGTAATAGTTTTCCATCACCTGGAAGGTCAAGGCCCAACTCACTAGCAAATCTTACAGAGCTGACTCCAATCCAGGGCTGCCTCAGCTGCCCACCTCATTGCCCACCATTCTGCCACTGAGCCTGCCCCAGGCTGCCCAAAGCTCTTACAACTCCCTGGACACCCTTCCCACTGGCATTCCCTTCCAGATATCCCACACATCTTCCAAGGCTCAGCTCCAGCATCACTTCCACTGGGAAGGCTGTGCTTGCCCTTGGCTTTCTTCCCTTTGCTCTCATGGACTTTTCTATATGCCTCTACTAAAGCTCACGTGGCTTCATCTCATGATCATTTGTGTGTGTGTGTGTGTGTGTGTGTGTGTGTGTGTGTGTATCAATGTGCTGTTTTCCTATGGAAATGGAAATGCTCTGTTTTCTTCCACTCTTTTACTGCAGTGAAAAAATGAAAGAAAATATATATTCCCTCACTATTTGGGGGTGTTTGAAGATTTTCTTCCTGACATCAAGAAACTTTGGGGGGAAATGGGGGATAGATGTCTTGCCAATAAGTTCTATTATGAACAAAGAGAACAGAGGATAATGTATGTGGCAGAATACAGAAGGGAGGGAAGGGTGAGACTCTAGGGAGGACTAGGAAAAAAAGGAGCAAGTAAGGAGAAGAAAGGAAAAAGAGATGGTACCCCTGAAGCCTGAGAAGTGATGGGAGCCATGTCAGAACTGAATCCTTGCCTTTGATCAATCAGCTTTCATCTTCAAGGAGAGCTTCCTATCTCCTGCACTCTGGGCCTGTGCCATCTGATCCCTCTTCAGTACCAGAGACAATACTCCTTTCCCCTCCCTTCTTCCCTTCACCCCATCTCTGCGAGTATAGATCACCCTGACTGCCTAAAACCACAGGTTTCTCCCCTTACCACCAGACATTACTTGGTTCTTATTCCATCAAACTTCCCCACACTCCAGGAAATCCCTCTGCTAGGGAGTGGAGAGAGGGAACTAACTGAACAGACTAGAGACCTACCAGTGGGACCATGGTTGGTGACAGCCCTGTACCAATATTCATCTCCCTTACTAGGACAATATATAGAATGTAATACGTACATAGTGTTTGTTGAATTATATCTAAAGGCAAATTACTTGCTGCCCCCCTAAAAGCATGCCCTTCTGTAGTAGGTGAAAGTTTGAAAAACTTTTGTTACCAAACACTTTTTTTTTCCTAAGCACTTATTTATTAACTACCACACTCAGGGTACTGTGACAGGAAGCGAAGAGGAGAGAAGTACTATAGGAAGGAATAAATAGAAAAATAAGTTTATTTGAGGTGATTGACTCAAAATATGAAAGTAATTATTTTTACAGAAGCCAATATTTATAGCCAAATTGTTAACATAATTCAACTTCAATCATAAATGAATACATGTCATCACTTTGTAACAGGCATAAAAAGTGAAATTTTGGACAGACATCCCAGAAAGCCTTAATAGTTATCGTAGGCTGTGTCTTACGGAGGCCGGGGGGGACTTTGATGCTGCCAACTCTGAGCTTCATAGATATTTAGGGAAGAAGGCATAACATAAGTGTATTGTGTGTGAGTAAAATATTCTGTTACTTACAATCTGTGTTAGAGTTCAGGATTAAAGATTAGAACTTGAGTACTCGTAGGAGCATTACGAAGCCTTCTGGTTTTCGCCACACATGGGATCTAACTTCGTTACTGACAACTACATGTGAAGCTGGGATATTAGGAATAATCAAATAGATTAAATATATAAGTAAGCAATGAATTTATGGCTGAAATTTAAGAGTAGGGGCCAAATACTAATACAGTTTAAAGTCTTGAGTTTATCTCAGTACTCCCAGTAAGAATACCTTGGCAGATTTGGGAAGATTCCCCTCTTTCCTGCTCTCTTTTGCCCTAATTTCTCTCCCTCTCTCTCCTTGTGTCTCCTAGACTCCCTTCATCTTTATTATTCTAGCCCCATGTATTTCCTCACTTGCAAGATGCTGGCTCCAAACTAAACCTATACTCCAAGGGGAAAATACATGCACACATCCCCAAAAAGCAAAATTGTTTTATTCCTTCCTTTCACATTATCCCTTGATGTGGTACTGGAAGCTTATTACTATTTATTTTACTTTCCTTGTCACAATGATGCCAATTTGGCTATCACATCAGTCCATGCAGATGCAGAGGTTCTTTCCCTTGGTGGCCTCCTCCAGGATTTTGGAAGGGCTTCACTGAGTGACATGAGCAATTGTGGCACCCCTTGTGCTATCTATTCTTCAAATAGGATTTTTTTTTTTTTTTGAGATGGAGTCTAGCTCTGTTGCCCAGGCTGGAGTGCAGTGGTACGATCTCAGCTCACTGCAACCTCCACTTCCCGGGTTCAAGCAATTATCCTGCCTCAGCCTCCCAAGTAGCTAGGACTACAGGCACCCGTCACCACGTCCAGCTAAACTTTTGTATTTTTAGTAGAGACGGGGTTTCACCATATTGGCCAGGCTGGTCTTGAACTCCTGACCTTGAGATACACCTGCCTTGGCTTCCCAAAGTGCTGGGATTACAGGCGTGAGCCACCACACCCAGCCCAGATAGGCTTTTGTGACAAGTTACAGCAAGGGACTTAAATGGTACACACCTTTAGAGTAGATTGAACTTTAGCTTATAGACACAACCACCAGCCAATTGACATAAAGAAATTTAGTTATCCCAAATGAAAACATCAATATTGTGTTGATGTCAAGTCCACAAAACAGCTAGTTAAGTCTTAAACTTTTTCACTTTCCAACTAGTAAATTTGCAGAAGCAGTCATCACAATAATTAGTGAATCAGATTGTTAAAGGACTACGTATCAGACAGGCAGCAATGTAAAGCATTTAAATGAAAATTACCCTTTAGCAACTAAAATGAAGTAAAATTACACTTCCCTCTGTAATGTTTGAAAACCCATCTCAAATACAATCAATGACCATGACATAAAATGAAGTAAACAGAAGTCTTTATACAAGAGATTGTGGAGTGGATTCCAGTACTGCAAAAATGATGAAAGTTTATAAAGGAGTTGTTAAGCTCAAATGCATTGCAATGTTGAAGTGCTAGCCTTGGACAACCTCTTGGAACCCAGGGCCACCATGCAAACCAGCAGGAGCAGCACCCAGACTTTCATGTGTAATAGCCATATACTGAACTGTGACCCATAATTATCCTTTAACCAATACTGGGTGAGAAAAGAGACTTATTTCATTTTGCATTCCTTTTCTCTAAGAGGGGAATTATAATTTCTGATTCTATACAATGATCATCTGGAGAACTTATTAAATTTGCCCATCCTCTCCCATGGAAATTTGAATTCAGTAAGTTTAGAAAGCCTTATTTAAGGAACTTGTTTTCTTTTTTAAAAACTTCATTTTGAGGTAATATTATTACTACTATTTTAGACTATTATTACTGTTGTTTTAGACTTTCCAGTAAGTTGTGAAACACATATGGTTTCTCTAATATCAGCATCTTTGACAACCATAGTACAATTATCAAAAACAGAAAATTAACATTTATACAGTGTTCCTAATTGTAGTGGGTTGAATATCTCCAAGTCTGAACCCCCTCTTAGCTGTGAATATGACCGTATTTGGAAAAATAATCTTTCTAGATGTAATCAAATGAAGGTCTCAATATGTGATCATCTTGGATTAACCACATGATCTCTAAACTCAATGACAAGTGTTCTGTAAAAAAGAAAAAAAAAGAAGACACATAAGAGGAGAAACCACATGAAGACGGAGGCAGAAATTGGAGTGATGCTGCCACAAATCAAGGGACACCTGGAGCCATCAGAAGCTGAAGAAGTTAAGGAAGGAATTTTGTATTTCAGAATTTTCAGGAAGGAATCAAACCTGCCTTGATTATGACTTTTGGACTACAGAAATGTGACAGAATACATTTCTGTTGTTTTAAGCCCAGTTTGTGGTACTTTGTAAAAGCATCTCTATAAAATGAATACATCTAGGTAACAATAAATAAAACGAATATTGTCTGTCATTTCCAAATAGAATGACCTGTGCTTACTCCCAGTAAAAAATCTGGTTAATTGCAAAACTATTTTTTACCTTGGCCTATGTCTCACAACTACACTTTCGTCTCCTCTATCCAACCTTACTATTTAAGTGGGCTTTTACATATCTGAAATTTCTCATTTCCATGGAGGAGGGTTTCAAAGATAATTAACTGATCAAGGGGCACTCAGTATCCTTCATAAGAACATGTATTGAGTATACACACCATATTTTGTGATTAAGTTTGACATGGAAAATAAAGCTTAATCTCTAACAGCCAAGGAACTAGGCAAAGCTTTTTTAAGTAAACAGTAACACAGATGGATTTTCATGTTAAATAATTTTAAATGTGCATGACATTCTCAACATCCTCCTACTAGATATTAAGTTAATGAAATTTTGAACAATGATTTAACTTTTACATTTCATAAATAGCAAGTGAAGAATAGATCATAAACTTGATATTTTTTACCTATGTGTTTGATGTACAATTCATAAACAGGCAACCTGATATACACCTGCCAAATCATCCAAAGTATGATGATTGTGGAGCTGCTGGTGACTGGTGTCCAATTTTGACACTTCAATGTATGATTAGCAATGTGTTTTGATGTCATTTGATACAGATTACCAATTAGAGCAAATAGGTTGTGATGGTTAATACTGAGTGTCAACTCAATTGGATTGAAGGATGCAAAGTATTATTCCTGGGTGTGTCTGTAAGGTTGTTGCCAAAGGAGATTAACATTTGAGTCAGTGGACTGGGAAAGGCAGACCCACCCTCAATCTGAGTGGGCACAATCTAATCAGCTGCCAGCACAGCCAGAATAAAAACAGGCAGAATGTGAAAAGACTAGACTGGCTTAGCCTCCCAGCCTACGTCTTTCTCCCATGCTGGATGCTTCCCACCCTCAACATCAGCCTCCAAGGTCTTCAGCTTTGGGAATTGGACTGGCGTCCTTGCTTCTCAGCTTGCAGATAGCCTGTTGTGGGACTTCAGTATTGTGTGAGTCAATACTCCTTAATAAAATCCCCTTTATATATACATCTATCCTATTAGTTCTGTCCCTCTAAAGAACCCTGACTAGTACATAAGTTAAACTACATGATTCTGTTTAAGATATCCTTTGAATCCATCACTTCACTCCAACTATAGAGTTAGATAATTTTTATTCAAATAAAATCTTTTTAAATTATCTATGAAATGTAAGAGTATATATGTTATCTCTACCAAGTAAATAAGCATTGGCCTATAGGTCTAGAAATTAAACCATTCTGTGCCAAAATAAACACATTAGTAGAATTTGAAAGGGTCTTACAGCCTCTTTAAACACTAAGAGATAAGCACCATAACCTTATGTGAACGGGGCCCATTGGCATTTGCCTAATGCTGCCAAGTATGGAAAAATCAGTGAAATCTCAACAGAGACTTGAAAAAACTGGCAGGTTTGCACACTTAATAGGCCTTCCACCTTTCCTCCCACTGGGAAAAAAGTTTCTAATATGAACGACTCTTTTTTTTTTTTTTGAGACCGAGTCTCACTCTGTCCCCCAGGCTAGAGTGCAGTGGCATGATCTCGGCTCACTGCAAGCTCCACCTCCCAATATGAATGACTCTTAATGATCTCCCTTCCACTCTGGAGAGGTAAATAGAGATTTCCACTCTAATTGCCCTTTATATCCTACAATCTGAGAAATCTAACCAACATCTCTGTCACACAATGCCAAGTAGACTTGCTTTTATTATAAAGTGCAACCGGTTTCTCCATACTTCTCTTGACATAGCTCCGCAAAATGAATGTGTGGCGGTTAATATATTCTATCTGTCTCAAGATCTGCATGATAGCTACTAAGGAACATAACATAGCCAATGACAAGTTTGTTTTTAAAAATCAAAACATGAGGATTACAAATGTAAATTTCATTTCCCTTCTCAATATATTCTGCAGCTGCTTAGAAAATATGGAAAGTTGAATCAGAAAAACAATCCTGGTATATTTCTAAATATTAAAGAAAGGATATCCTGAGTTCATATTTTTAAATCTTCCCATCAAATTTTGCTTCTCCTTCAATGGTCCCCATTTCAGCAAACAGCTCCTCCAACCAGCCAATTGCTCAAGCATGAACCATCTCCTTCAACCCCAAAATGCCCAATTCCTCAACAGTCATGAAAATGCTTCATCCAAAATACATTTTGAATTCCTTCATTTTCTCCACCTCCACTTCTCTCACCCAAAACACCATAATCCCTTGTCTAATTTACAGCAATAGCCTCTTGATTGGTCACTTACTTGACTCCAATTTATCCTCCATACATTGAACAACATTGATCTTTGAAAAATGTAAATCTTATTCTTTGTTGTAAATCATTCAATAGCTTTTCATTACAGTTAAGATAAAATGTCAGACCTTTCATTTTGCCTACAAAGCTCCACATCGCCTGGTCCTGCCCACCTCTCCAGACTTACCTCCACCACTGTCATCTGCTTTCTGGGCTGCAGGCATGCCCCTGGGCCACCTCAGGGTCTTTGCAGTTTCCGCCTGCCTGCAATGCTCTTCTCCCTCCTCTTCACCTGGCTATGCCTATTCACCCTTTAGATGTCAGCTTAGGTCTCGGCTTATTCCACTCTCTCACAGAAGCTCTCTCTGTCCCCTAATCTAAATCTCTCTCCCAATTATAATTTCTGTTCTCTCTCCCAATTATAATGTACTGTTTAGATATCCTTCCTAGCTTGTTACCATAATTTGTGAATACACTTCTTTATGCCGATATTTGCTTAATATTTATCCTCCCACTAGACTCCATGCATTACAGAGGCAAGAATGTCTATATTGTTCATCATTCTCTCCCCAGCACCTAGCATGGTGCCTGGCATGGTATGTGCTCAGTAAATATTTTTAAATATATAAAAAGCTAGAACTTCTACCTTCATGTCAAAAAGAAATAATGCCACTCCTTCCTTCCCCATGATCACCCAAAAGTATTAAGTCATATCTCCTCACAGTTACTCTGTTATCACCATTATCTTCTGAACCTCAGGAAAGCTTCTTTACATATTTGATAGTGCACAGAAAACTGTGTGATATGATGGGAAAAAAGGCATGAATTGTTCTGGGTCTATATTATGACAAACATCTAACTGGAACATGGTGGGGGATCTACATCTTTTAGCATCTATTTTAATTATCTAGATTTTAGATAATTGGTGTTAAAATAGCATTATCATTACTGTTACTTTATCATATGCCATTTTAGAGTTAAGTAGGCATCAAAATATTACATAAAATATTAATCAAAATATTAACAAATAACTTCACAAACCAAACAGCTAAATCTATAATTACAAACTTCTGTATATGCTAGGAATAAGACTTAAAAGTGCAGTGAGGAAAAAAGTAACCATTACTCATTAATTCATTCTTTCATTCAACATTCATTTGTTGAATTTTTCTTACATACCAGGGAACAAGCTCAATGCAGAGGAATAAACAAGACAAGGAGCTCAGCCTTCTCAATGGAACCTTCACAACAATCCTATAGACTGTGCAGGGCAGATACTGCCATTCCCCGTATACAGGCAAGGACACAGGTTTAGAAAAGCCTAGCCACTTCCTAAACATCACATGTTAGCAGCTCATCATCCATACCCTGTTGGTCTAATTCCAAATCTAGAGTCACGATGCATTACTCAATGTAGTCTCATTGTGCCAGGTGTGTGAATTTCATTTTGCAGTTATTCAAATGTTTGGCCTTGTGAAATTAACCCCTCAATGCACTAAGCAAATCACATGACGCAAATTCTAATCTTGCTAGGCTTAAGAAATGTAAAAAGGTAAGCCATCTTTCCTGTGATAAGGGGATGGCAAAGAGAACACTCCCACGGAGCAGATGAAAATAACTTTATAAACATGGAGTATAATACAAATATAAAGCAGTGCAAACTGCCTTTTGTTTTCCACCTTACCAACCCAGGGATAACAAAGCATGAGACACGCAATTGTTCTTTTCATACCCAAATGAGTAAGTATCCCCTGGAAGCTGCAAGTAGTTGTAAGCAGAGCTGCGTCTTTGTAGTTGTTTTTAGCTGATGCTAATGAAACTCCTTTCTAGCTAATAGGCCATCTGCTCCACTCCATCTCCCGGAGAGGGAGCACATACATTCTCCCCGAATTTAGTCTCTGCTAGCTCCAGGAAGATGATGGCTCTTCTGAAGCTGACAGTTTAAAGCACAGTCCTGGTTCCCACATTTTTCATGGTCTTTTGTCTCAGAGAAACACAGAAAGGTGGTAGAGGAGCTGGTGAGAGATTGCTGCTTCATTTAGGGAGGTCACTCTGGAGCATGAGGAGCCCTTTGGTGAAGTCAGCCATCTTTCTAAAGTTATGGGCCAAGATGTACAGCCCTGTTCCCCCCTGGCACAGAGAAAGGGAAGTAGTGAGGTGGCTGTTCTTGGAAGAGGGCTGTGCTGGAGGTGCTAATTTACAAAGAGAGTATAGGCATCAGTAAAAAGTCAGAAGCTCTTGGCTTCAAGAAAAAACTTGAACATGTCTGATACTGTACCTTCAGCATTTTTCAAAATTACTTCTATCAAGAGATGCTATACTGAAAAAAAAAACCAGCAGTTACATCAATAGATGTCATATCAAGACATGGAGAGAAGGAGAAAGGGGTGGGGAGAGACAGAGAGAGAGAGAAAGGGAGGATGGGAGGGAAGAAGGAGGAGAGGGAAAGAAAAAGAAGTCTTCACAGTTAAAAATATTTGAGAAACACCGAGGTTAAAAGAACTTCCTAAAGCCTTTGATTTTCTTTTATGTACCGTAATGCTATTAGGGAAATTATAACATTCAATACTTCTCTAATCTATTTAACCATATGTTCACATTTTGCAGAACACTGGCTGTGATTGACAATACCTAGCCAACAATGTCTTAAACAATATAGACATTTAAACATTTCTGATACCATGCTGTGCAGAGAACAGCTTTCCTGATTTGGTCCAGGGACTCATGGAGGTCACAGTGCTGGGTGTGAGGCTCTGTGATTCTGCTGACCTTTCTTCTCTCATGGTGGCAGAAAAACTGGAGCAGCATCACCGTCTCATACAGCAACATTCCAAGAGCAGAAAAAATTCTCTCCCCAGTGGCCTCTGATTTTTACCTGGGAGAAAATCTTTCCCAGAGACCACCAACTGACTTCCCCTTAAATCTCAGCCAGAAATAGGTCACACAGCCACCCCTAACTACAAGGGAGCCTGAGATATTGGAGAATATCTGGTTTTCCCAGCCTCTGTAATGGGAGGTGAGGAAGGGAGGAGGGGATTGCAAATAACAGTTGGGCAGGTAACCAATAGCCACAGCTCCCCTTGGAGTTACTGTTCTAAGTGTTACATAGGTGTTTCACCACTGTGGTTACTCAGGAGAAAGATGACCGTCTGGTTTCTTTCAGCTCTGAATGAGTGGAATTGTGTTCCCCCAAAAATAATATGCTGAAGTTCTAACTTCTAGGACCTCAGAATGTGATATTATTTGTAAATAAAGTAATCATGGGTATAATTGGTTAACATGAGGTCATACCAGAGTAGGATGGGTCCCTAATCCAATATCACTGGTACCCTCATAAAAAAGGGAAATTTGGACACAGACATGCACATAGGGAGAACACTATGGGAAGATGAAGGCAGAGATCAGGGTGATGAGGCAGAAGCCAAGGAATACTCAGGATTACCAGCAACACACCAGAGGCCAGGAACAAGGTCTGGAACAGATTCTCCCTCACAGCCCTCAGAAGAAACCAACCTGCCAGCACCTTGATTTCAGACTTCTAGGCTCTAGAACTATGAGACAATAAACTTCTGTCATTTAAGCCGCCCAGACTGTGGTACCTTGTTACGACAGCCCTAGAAGACTAACACAAGCCCCACCCTTCCAAACACAGGAGCCACTCCTCCTGGTGACCAGGGCACCTCCTGCATCCTGGAATTTTGAAGGGGCTGTTACGGACAAGTGGTGATAAAGCCAAGCCTCCAGCACATGCAGGCATCTCTCTCACTAGATGGCCAACTGTGACTGGACCTGATACTGACAGGTAAAGCAACTAGCCCAGCTCAGCCATTCAGGCAAAGTATAGTGTTCACTCAAGAGGAGACCACATGTTAGAGCAATGACCTGGGCTCCACTTAGGGGATGGCTCAAGAAGAGCCTGGGAGGGATCCAGAGACTTGAATTAACCCTGATCCATGCATCACACTCCACGCCCAGACTCTTCCTCCCCCTTTCATTTGACACCTTCTCCTTCAACTCACTCCTCCATGCTTGGAAAAGAGCTTTTATCTAACTCATTGCATTATCTCCAAACAAGGGTACCTTTATGGGTGGGCAGCCTGTATAGTCACAGAAGACCTAGAGTTTAGAAGGGCCCTGTGCTTAGTTTAACATTTTGCTGCTGCCATCTTGAAATTCTTAACTTTTTAACAGGGGCCTTTGCAATTTCATTTTGCCCTGGGCCCTACAAAACATATACCTGGTCTGGTCTTGTCTCCAAAATCTACATTAAACTAGAGTATATGTCAAAAGCCAATAATTGGTTCTCTTAGCAGTTCAGTGATTTTCCCTTTCCTAGGGAAGCAAATTCAGAATACCTAGCTGACTAAATGCGAGAGGAGTCCTACAGTAGACAGAAATAGAATATGCAGACTGCCAAGTGCCCATTCCTGGCCTATACAGCGGGGTCAGCTCCAAGCTCCAATACAGCACTGACTTTCAAATTGTGGGTTGCAACCTTTAGTGGGTCATAAAATCAAATCAGTAAGTCAGGACCAGCATGTTATTAAGATGAGGAAAATGGAATATGATATGGTTTGGATTTGTGTTCCCACCCAAATCTCATGTCAAATTGTAATCCCCAATTTTGGAGGAGGGGCCTGGTAGGAGGTGACTGGATCACAGGGGCAGACGTCCCCCTTGCTGTTCTCATGATAGTGAGTTCTCCTGAGATCTGATTGTTTAAAAGTGTGTAGCACCTCCCCCTTCACTGTTTCTTCCTCCTGCTCCTGCCATGTAATATGTGCGTGCTTCCCTTCACCTTCCACCATGATTGTAAGTAAGTTTTCTGAGGCTTCCCAGCCATGCTTGCTGTCCAACCTGCACAAACTGAGGCAATTAAACCTTTTTTCTTCATAAATTACCCAGTTCTCAGGTAGTTCTTCATAGCAATGTGAGAATGGACTAATATAGAGTGGAATAAAGATAGAAATAGAAGTAGAACAGAGTATATCAAAAGTAGAAAAATACGTAGAATTTCATGAAAAGTTTATTTCAATTATGTGTGTATATACTAGGTTGTTGAGTAAAATATGTATTTCCTATGACTCATATTCAATAAATTTGAAAGTTATTGCATTGGGATTCTAGATTCTAAGCCAGGGGTCAGCAAACTGTGACCAAAGTACCAAATCTGGACTGTTTTTGAAAATACAGTTTTACTGGAACACAGCTGTACCTGATCATTTGTGTATTATCTATGGCTACTTCCACCCTACAATGGCAGTGTGGAGCAGTTACAACAGAAGCCACACAACCTACAAAGCTGAAACTACTATCTAGCCCTTTATAGAACAAGTTTGCTGAACACTGCTCTAACAATGTGGACTGAGAGTTTGAGAAGACAGCTGGTTATTAAAAGGCAAATGGAGCCAAAAAACACATGAAAAAATGCTCATCATCACTGGCCATCAGAGAAATGCAAATCAAAACCACAATGAGATACCATCTCACATCAGTTAGAATGGCAATCATTAAAAAGTCAGGAAGCAACAGGTGCTGGAGAGGATGTGGAGAAACAGGAACACTTTTACACTGTTGGTGGGACTGTAAACTAGTTCAACCATTGTGGAAGTCAGTGTGGCGATTCCTCAGGGATCTAGAACTAGAAATACCATTTGACCCAGCCATCCCATTACTGGGTATATACCCAAAGAACTCTAAATCATGCTGCTATAAAGACACATGCACACGTATGTTTATTGCGGCATTATTCACAATAGCAAAGACTTGGAACCAACCCAAATGTCCAATAATGATAGACTGGATTAAGAAAATGTGGCACATATACACCATGGAATACTATGCAGCCATAAAAAATGATGAGTTCATGTCCTTTGTAGGGACATGGATGAAATTGGAAATCATCATTCTCAGTAAACTATCACAAGAACAAAAAACCAAACACCGCATATTCTCACTCATAGGTGGGAATTGAACAATGAGATCACATGGACACAGGAAGGGGAATATCACACTCTGAGGACTGTGGTGGGGTGGGGGGGAGGGGGGAGGGATAGCATTGGGAGATATACCTAATGCTAGATGACGAGTTAGTGGGTGCAGCGCACCAGCATGGCACATGTATACATATGTAACTAACCTGCACAATGTGCACATGTACCCTAAAACTTAAAGTATAATAAAAAAAATAAAATAAAATAAAAATAAAAGGCAAATGGAGGTACAATTACGAAAATAAGAATGCATGAATATGGGAAAGCAAAAATAATTTTTTTAACTTATCACCTAGAAGCAAAAAGCCAAAAGCAGATATTGCAGAGCTGGAGCATGCAATTGTAGAAGCATTGTTCCTGGGGTAAAAATGCAAGTATCAAGGCAGGCTGGGGCTTGGCAGGGCAGCCTGTGGGTATAAGGGGATTCAGGCTGAAAGGCCGCCCATTCTTGCCCCCATCTTTCCGAGGTTTCCCTTACAGATGCAATGCTCAGTCTCCTTGCAGCTATGTGCTCCCTCTACCATAATAACTTAGACCTGGACCTCAGGGTTCCTTCATGCTTTGAGGAGTGCTGTCCTGGAGGAGCACCCAGGTCTAGACCAGGTCCTGCATGGATACTGGTCAGTAGAAGTGCCCTCCCCACTGCTGCCTGGGACATAGCAGGACCAGCAATGCCATCCTTTGCATTCGAACCAGGACCACCTGGGCCCCAGTCCCCATTCCTCCTCTTCAGAGCGATCCCAGGCCATTTATTCCCAGTCCCTGCTCAAGGAGTCCCCAGATGGTTCAAAGGGCTCTGGCATTTGGGTTGTCTTGGGGAAGCTCCAGTTCTAAGAGAGGGATCTGGCCAGTGGAGTGCTGGTCCATGGATAATGCTGACATTTGGAGTGTCTCTCATTTATGTTGGACACATCACTTATGATGGGTCACTGCAGTTCTGTGAGCTGGAGCCACATCTTCAGAAGAGTTCTTCAGCTCTTGTCCATCTGTGTTTGGACCAAGATGCCACCTCCAGTCTAAACGCCCCAGTACAATGAGGGTGGTGGCAGGTATAACCACCCGATATAACTCCCTCTGCTAAGGGTGGTGACCACCCAGTCTCTACCATCCTCTATCCCCATCCTTGCAGACTGCATCACATGCCATACAATTCTTCAAGTATGCCTGTGTCCATCTCCTTCAAGGACATTCAATACAATTGCTCTTCAAAGCTAATGAGCCTTTTCTATCCATGTCCTTCCTTGACCCCATCAACATAGCACAACCAATCTATGCCATGCCTCCATGCCAGATGAGGCATGGCCTTGCCCTCTTTTCCCTCTGCCCTCAGGCCCCTCCTCTACCCTTTCTGCTGATGGTAATTTCAATATACATAGATTGCAAGAAGTCATAGCAGCATGCACAATTACAGCACCACTACCTTCTCCTGGTTGTGAGAGAGATAAAATTAGCCAGGAAGAGCACATTTCACGATAAAGAACACAAAGAGATCATTTCTGGCAATGAACAAGAGGAGATGGTACCAGGATACAGGATCTTCACCAACACCAATTGGACAATAAACCAATACAGAAGCCAGTACTTCCTCTCTATCCAGAATTCTAAAACTTCATTGACAAATCACTTTATCTTACATGGGCCCATGAATTTTGTCATACATTATAAATCTAATTGTTTCTATAATCAAGGGTCCAGCAAAATATATTTGCCTGGGGTTTTGCACACCTTAGAGTGGCCATGTTCTCTGCAGAACAGTTACCAAAGTGTTGGCTCTGGGTGCTCAGACAGCCCGACCAATCCAAAACAAATCCACCGCTGAGAACCTTACTAAGAAGCCCTAAAATGTTCACCCAAAGCTCCAACTTTCAAGTCCTACTGTCCTTGTCAGCTCTGAAGTGGTCAAAGTTTCTATTATCATGTCATTCTCAATATCTTCACTAACCCTATTGCTAGAATCTTTCAAAAAAAAATCGTGTGCTAAAACCAAGTTCATGGAAATTTGCTGAAACCAAATTCATCACAGGTCACATCACAAAAGATTCAAAAATACTGAGTCTGTTCTGAGAAGGAGGCTGCCTTATAGATGTTATATGTTGAACCAGACATGTTATGTCACTTAAACTGTATTTTTACATCAACTCATAAATTTTTTTTCATTATACAAAAATAACCTCTGTCATTTTATTCTATCAAAATGTCTCTTTATTGGGCTATGGTTAATGGCTTAAGAAGTAATTTGCAGTGAAACATGTCAGTGCATTTTATAGCCATCAAAGAGAAGCACAAAGACACCATTTTCAGGGTGCATGTGTCATTATCTTGGGGACTGCCTTCCTTGTGGAACTGATAAGTGCAAGAAAGTAAATTAAGTATCCCTTTTTCCTTTTGGTATTGTTGCCAAGTTCTCAACTTCCCAGGTGTTAGACCTGAGCTTCTGGCCTTTAAATAAGAAGAATGTTACAAAGAACCAGGTACAAAAGAAGGTGACTCCACTTAGCACACAATAATGAGGCTCTCCTAGTCCTACTGTAACTCTCCAAGTAAAACTGACTGTCTGACTTCAAGAAGAGTGGCCAAAATTGAGCTCATGTTTATTAATTAGCTCATTATATTTGTTAGGCAGGAAATAAGCTTGTTAAGGAAAAGATTTAGTCTTTTTATAACCCAGAATTAACCTTTCTTGAAGTCAATTTTTATGGACATCAGGCAAACAGTATTTTCATCAGACTAGCAGAATTACAAAAGTGTTTTGTTAACCCAATTATGAAGAAGGGAACTTGAAGATTGGGAATACAAACCATGTACAATATTCATATCTATTTTTGAACTGCTCATGGCATTTGCATTGAATCTGGGATGATTCAAGACCAGGCTCAGAGATCATTTGCATAGCTGCAAAAACCAAGGCCGAATTACAACACTGCCTCTAATATATACATTGTTTTTGTGTTTTGTGTGGAGCCACTAGAGAAGTTCACATCACAGCACACATAGGTTTTCACACACCAGCTTCAGGGTACAAGTTTCCTAGGAGTTCTTCCCCCGGCACATAGACACATCTGATAAATTTGCAAACGAAAGAACTTGAGATATTGGACTCCCCAGCCATGTTCTCTGAGGTATAATCCCTGGCATATATAAATTACATGTTCTCTGAGAGCAGACTTGAGTTCAGAGCCAGAAGGAACATAGCCAAGTGGAGTCAGAAAGTACCAAGTTCAAATCTGTCACTACTTATGAAGCGAGGTGGCTTAGGCATGTTATATAAGTTTCCAGTGAAACGGGGATAAAAATATCTATCTTGTAGGGCAGTCATGAGGACTGAATGACACATTTGTATGTGAAATGCCTAGAACTTGTTAGGCATTTAATAAATAGAAAGTGCCCTTAAGATGCAAGCTCTTTTGTCTTTGTGACTGTTATCAAGAGAGGAATGAAGTTGTCTCTTACAGCCTTGAATTTGGCTGCCCTGAGATTTACAGCATTTGTCGAAGCAATAAACTATTAACTCTTAAGGTGGGCCAAGTTATAGAGTATCTTTTTCCTTCTCCCTCCCTCCCTCCCTTCTCCCTTCAGACATTAGTTCTTTATTCAAAACACTGTTTTAAGCACTTTTATGTGCCAAGTACGGGGAGGTAAATAAATTAGTATGAAAAGTATCATATTATCATCATAATAGCATTTTAGTTTAGTGCTTACTATGTATCAGATGCGGCTTTATTATTTCATTCATTTATTATGATGATGAGATACTAATGGGATAACTTAGGAAGTTACTATTTTTCTTCCAGATTTTATAGACGAGCAAACTGATGCTCGAAAAGACCAATAATTGGTCAAAATTTTTATGAGGCAAAATGGCAGACTTCAGGCTTTTCATCTGTATGTTATTTTAGCCTCCCAATAATTTACCATACCATAGCCAACTCTTTAATAATCAGAGAAATGTAAACTAAAACATCAGTGAATCTCATTTTATACATATTACATGGCAAAAATTAAAAAGCTGGGTAATCCAAGCCTTAGTAGAATGCGGGGCTGTCAAAGGCTTGTGAACTGTGATGGGAGCATGAGCTGGTGCAGCTTTGCTATACAGCAGTCTGCTATTACTTACTCACATCAAGTATACACATGTACTGTGACCCAGCAAGCCTACTCTTGGGAATCTATCCAAAGAAATCCTCATGCATGGCCTTAAGGCAGAGTTTCTCAACCTCAGCACTACTGACATTTAGACCAAATAATTCTTTGTTGTAGAAAGGCTGTCCTGTGCATGGCAGGATGGTCCACAGCACCCCTGGACTCTACCAACTAGATGCCAGGAGTGTCCTCCTCCAGTTGTGACAACCAAACATGTTTCCTGACATTGCCAACTGTCCCTGGGGGTGCAAAATCATCCCCAGCTGAGAACCATTGCCATAAAGGGACATGCTTAAGGATGTTCATTGCAGCAACATTTGTGAAAGGAGGAACCAGAGCCACCCTGGTGTCTGCCATTAGAAAAATGAATAGGTGAAATGTGAGGGACGCCCAGCATGGAATAGTAAGCACCTGTCAAATGCAACAGATTAGACACACACCATGGCAACATGAATGGAGCTTTAAAATACAGTTCTGAAAAAAAGGAAAGAAACAGAGTGAGGCATAGAATACAGTTTCATTTATGCAAATTAACAACACATTTTCACAGAACAATAGACATTTTGCAAGAATACATATGAATGAACAAAAGGATATAAAACCAAACACACTGGGATGGCTGCCTAGATGGGTGGAGAAAAGAGCATGAGGAGGTAGAGGAATAAAAAGGAATATAGCATGAGAGTTGTCTCACTTGGACCAATTATACCGGATGTGAAAAGAAGGATAAACTCTGTATGCTCCTGAAGACAAAACAAAAAAGACACTACATGCAAGGTACAGATAATAATGCTACAGGCACCTGTAATCCCAGCACTTCGGGAGGCCAGGGCAGGCAGATTACCTGAAGTCAGGAGTTTGAGACCAGCCTGGCTAACATGGTGAAACTCCGTCTCTACTAAAAATAAAAAATTAGCCGGGCGTGGTGGCGGGCGCCTGTAATCCCAGCTACTCGGGAGGCTGAGGCAGGAGAATTGCTTGAGTCCAGGAGACGGAGGTTGCAGTGAGCCAAGCTCGTGCCACTGCACTCCAGCCTGACCAACAGAGCGATACCCTGTCTCAAAAAAATAAAATAAAATAAAATAAAGCTACAGGCATTGAGGTAGGAACCACTTCAGGTGGGAGCTGAAGTCAGGGAAGGGGTGGCAGCTGATACATGAAGAATGTGTAGACTTTTAAAAGATACAAACAAGGAGTTGAGGGAGTGAGTGAATGTGAGTGTGTGTGTGTAGAGCAGAGTGGGGGATATTTCTGAAAGTTTAACGTGGTTACCATCCATTGATCATATTTACATATATATTTCATTTGATTTTGATGGAAGCTTCAATTTCCTCTTTGTGCATTCTGAAACTCAGAAAGGTTAGATAACTTGTCCAAGTAGACACAGCTTAGTCTCTGACTGCAAAGTTCATTCTATTTGCATTATACATGAGAGCTGTTCTTAGGTCACAGCTTTCTAAACTGGGCTTCTCAGCTTATTTTTTCATAGAATCCAAGATGCTTCAGGCAAGCAGGGGCTTCACAGCCATATTCACAGAGTCACCAAGCTCTAGTAAGTGTGTTTTATTAACTCCTGAATCGATCATCTCTTCCTTTCCCATCACTGCTACTCTGGTCTAAGCCGCCAAGATTTCTTAGCAGGACAGCAGCTTCTCACAGATACACCTCATTCGCCCATGTTCATCCATTTAGATGTATCTAGAACACTCATTTGATTATACTGATCTCCTTATAAAATGATAATGAATCCCCACGGCCCTCAGATTAGAGTCTAAATTTCTGAATATGACCTTCAAGGGCTTTCACGGCCTAAAGCCATGGTTCTTCCCAAAAAATCATGGGACTTGGTTAAACTTTCATGCCACACCCAGCACTAAACACCCTATTATTCTTTGTCCAAGAGACTTCGCAAGTTATTTGAAAATTGCTAGTTGGCCTCATTAGCTCCTAAGAATTATCTAGGTTTTATGTCATAACTGGGAGGAACAAAGCCAAACAAAGGATTATGCGAGGTAAGTAAAACAATGGTATAAAAGCATTAAAGTAGGGTGTCACCACAGATAAGTAGTAGCATTTGTGGCTTATGAGGCCACAAAAAGAAAACATGAATTGGTCATTCAGTAAGCAAACACTTGGTATGTGCCTACTAGTCCTAGATATTGAGTGGCATGGTGACGGGGGGCATAGCTTAGCCCCTGCCTCCAGAGACCTCAGGGTCCAGTGGGAAGACAGTGAACTACGAGCAGTGGATTTACTGCTACAATTGAGAGAAATGCAAGCACAATGTGGGAAGATGAATACAGCACAAGTCAAGGAAGGCTTCCTGAAAGAGTGGAAGTCTAAGCTAAATCTGAAAGTTGAACATAAGTAGGGGTTGTTGGGGTGCAGAGCACTGTGGGTTGGGAAGGGTCAGGGAAACCCATTAAAGACAGAAGCAGCGGCCACTGCAAAGGCCCAAGATGAGGGAGCAGGGCGTTCAAGGAAATGAAGCAGTTCAGAATGGTTTAAAATACGTGACTTTTAAAAACACTTAAAATGGTGTTATTATTCACTATTACCACAAATCAACTACATCTGGGAAATCCTAGTGCCATGGGAAGAGCATTGAACAGAGTTAAAAGACTTTTGTTTTTGTTCCAGCTCTGACAAAAACCAGCCATTAGATATTGCGAAACTTACCTAACCTCTCGGAGCCCTTCTTTCCTCATTTGAAAATGAAAAAAAAATTCTTCCGCCTTCATAAGATTTTAAGGAGAACAGAATGACCTGGTATACATGAGGGCACCTTAAACAAAACTAAGTCGTTAGACTGATTTTTATATTTTTGATTATTGATCAGAAAATATTCATTTCCCACTGATGTTGGGCTTAGCCATGTGACTGATTTGGGCCAATGAAATGTTAGTGAATATGACGCATGCATAGGCCTTTGATGTACATGTACATTTTGGCTTGTTTCAGGAGTGCCAGTGAGTCACTATGAGAAGAACATGCTGACCTTCAGCCTGGTCCCCAGGACCAACATATGTGGAGCAGGCCTGACCACAACCTACGGCCAGGGGTTAAACTCACTGAGCCCAGCCTAAATTAGTCACACCACAGTTCACCTGCAGACTCATCAACATGAGAATAAATGCTTATTGTATGTCACTGAATCTGAAGATAGTTTGTTGTACAGTATTGTTGCATCAGTTGCTATTAGTTTCTATGCTGCATAACAAATTACAAACTTAGTGCTTAAAACAACACATATTTATTGTCTCACTGGGTCAGAAATTCAGATGTAGCTTAGATGAGTTTTCCGCTTAGAGTCTCACAAGGCTGTAATCAAGGCATCAGGAAGAGTCAGGTTCTCATCAGGGGCTTGACCAGGGAAGAGTTCACTTCCAAGCTTCCTCAGCCTATTCACAGAATTGTTTGTGGCTATAGTATTTTTTGCATCTTGCTTCTTCAAAACCAGCAACAGAAAGAAAGATTCTAGCGCCAGTCTGATAACTAGACATAATGTAATTCTAGGGGTGACATCTCATTATATTTGCAAATTCTCTTGGTTAGAAGAAAGTCACAGGTCCTACCCACATTCAAGAAGAGGGGCTTATACAAGGACATGAACACCAAGAAGCAGGGATCATGGGAATCAACTTAAAATTTGTCCATAATAGGCCAAAGTAAGTAAGGCATTATCATCCTCTTTCCTCCCAAGTCAATGATTCTACTACAGTTTAGTAAATAATGTAAGCTACTAGACCCTTCTTATCTGCCTGCTTTTCTACCAGTCACACCTCCCTCTACACACCCATTGCTTGGGCCTGTAAGAAAAGAAAGTAGGGAAGGGAGAAGACATATACTGATATTTTTCTGAAGGGTCCAACAAGTTTTAGAAACTATCAGAGCTGGAAAGAACTTCATAGATTATTCAATCACACCTCTGGATTTACAGATAAGGAGATAAAGACTGAGGAAGTTGAAGTTCCATGGCCCAGAGCACACAGGTTAGCTAGTGGCAGATATTCAGACTTCCAGGCCAATGCTCCTTCCCCTCTCCTCTCTCTGCTGCCCCTCAGGGGTCTCCAGCACAGTCCTCAGAGATAAACGGAGCATAAGAATCACAAGTGACTCTTGTTAAAAACACACATTTCTGAAATGCTACCTCAGATTTGCTACCACAGAATTTCCAGGGTAGAGGAGGCCAAGAATTTGTATTTCAACCAAGCTTCATCAAGTGCTTTTGATTAAACAAGCTGGAAACCCTGCTCTTGCTTCATTCCATTATTTGACAACCTGTTTACTGAGCACGTTCTCAGTACCAAGTTCTGGAAAAGATGCTGAGGATATAGGACTGATGGTGAGAAACACAGTCCCAGCTGTCATGAAGGTTTGCCACCTAGCAGGGAAAAGAGGCATTGGCCAAGAAATTGTAAGTTTGAAGAGTGTTAGATGAAGTACAAAATGGGCATGATGGGAGGAAGGTGGGGAAAGCAGCCTAGCATGATGTGGGAGGCGCTGAGGAAATTACATTGAGCTGGGACCTGAAGGATCAGAAAGAGTTATATATATGGGCAAAATGAGTACAAGAGTAGGAGACAGGGAGAGCAGAATAAGAGCATCCCTGGAGGACACAGAGGTTCAAGAACCTACAGCAAGAACATAGGATGTAGGTGGTAAGTCAAAACCAGACGAGATCCCAACAGGCCAAATGCATGCCTACAGAAAAGCTGTGGGGACTGTGCTAGCAATGCACCGAGCACCACTTGGTAAGAAATGCTGCACCCCAGCGTATTGTCAGCCCCTGAGGAGCATCAGCCATGGTTTGTAAACCTGGCCAATGCACTGATTTACAGCCAGCATCAACACCGTGATGGATGCTGTTTTTATTTCAGATGTTCCTGGTGCTCTATTTGACATGGCCTTGGGGAGCTTAGCAAAGAAAAGCATGGCTAAGACGTTTTGACTGAGAGGACACTGTCAAACAAAAAAGAGAAGAAAGGAAAAATAGCTGCAGGAGCAGCCATAGCTAAACCAAATGAATGGCAGTAGAAAAAGGCAATTACTGTGTGGTCAGGAGAGGACGACAAAGACTTAAGGGATTTCCTATGTGCCACTCTGAGTTCACATCTCTGAACTCTGGATCCACTCACAAAGATGGTTTCCTGCAAGGGAGATTCGAGCGGTCTCAAGAGTGTGATAGAAGCAGCAATTACTTTTTCTGGTCAAACTGGGTGAAGAAATTTATGGCTGTCACTATTCAGACTTCATATTCCTCAAGAAGGGATTTTTCTCCTTCTCCAAATTCTGTGGGGCTTTGTCCACAGAAAGACAAATGCTGTACCAAAAGGTCTGATGAGGAAACTCAGATTATTAGCATGAGTTACCTGGCATAGGAAAAGAAGAAGGAGGCTGAAGCAGAAGTTTTACTTTTCATTTTATATACTTTGTCGTTTAAATTTTATGAAAAGACTACATTCTATAGTTTAAGTTTTTTAATTTAAAAAATGCAAACGTATTTAATAAAACTCAACTTGATCAATTTGCTCAATAATTCTATCATATAGTATTTCCTCTGTGCTTAAAAATGATGTGTAATTAATTAACTTCAATCTGCATGGCCCCACCAGGATGAGCCTGGCTACACATTTACATGTAACAGGAAGCCTGATCCCAAAAGGCTTGAAGACCAGTGTGATCCCGAATACTAGATAGGAGCAAGGAGCTGGGGTCTCAGTGAGAAGGGTGCACAAGATTCACAGAACAATATTACATGAACTTCTTTGCCTTCTCTCTCCCCAAAACCCCCTTGTCAGAGAGGCCCCCATCTCCTTGCCCTCCTTTCATAATTCCAGCCTGCACTAACTTGCTGTCTCATTTCTTCACCCCATCCCCCTTTCTTCCAGCCTCTTGGCTGTTTCCTTTTTCTGTATAGGTAGTTGAAGTTGACCTGCCACCCCACTTTCTATTCTGCACCTCCTACCCATTACCACATCCACACCACAAAGGCTCAGGAGCCACAGCAGCAGGCAAAGAGGCCTCCTCAGAGTTCAGGACCCCCAGAGAAAGGCCTCCAGGAATCTGACACTGAAGTGTTATTGTTCCTGTTCCACATGATCCTGAGCATTCTGGGGATCTCAAGATAAACCAACAGGCTACCAATTCGAAGGGAGAGATGAGGCAGGAACATAATTAGTTTAAGGCAACACAGTGTGTGAGAAGTGCCACCAGAAAGAAACAAATGAAGAGCAATAGAAAATGAGATGGACTTTTGTTTGAGTAGTCTTCTATATTTGAATAGATGTCCAACACTATGCTGAGGACAAGGCTAGGACCCCTTAGAAACCAAAGGAACAAAAGCATTGAGAAGGTCATTAAGATTTTCCTCCTGCAGATGATATATTCTACCCTACCCTCCAGCTAGTCTAGAGAAAATGTCAGGCAGAGAGAGAAACCCCGATTCCAGAGTTGCTGCATGCTGTGAAATATTTTTCCATAGGCGTCAATGCTGACTGCAATGGTTGAAATGCAGTTAGAGTTAGGGAGGACTCTGTGGGTCATTTAGGAGGGATTTGATGTGGCTCTGGAGTGCGTTACACTGGAAGGGATGGAGCCAGGGTCCACAAGCCTCAAGGACATGGAAAGCCCTGGGTCTTCAGCCCAGAAAAATGCATACACACGCCACAAAAGTTTGCTTATAATTTGGAGGGTGTTGAACTTCTGTGTCCCATCTACTGACTTGCCAGCTGCCTATGAGCTCCCAGACATATCATGGACTCTGGAGCCAGACAGATATCTGAATTCTCCCTCTTTCACAAATTCAGTGAGGTGATAGCCCCAAGACTGCTGTAGGGACCATATTAAAATAGAATGAATATGTAAAGCACTGACACATATATAGTATATAATCAATTCTTCAGTTCTTGAGTTCTTAAGTAATGACTCTTACTTTGAGAAATGTACTCATAAATTTCAAGTAATTGACTTAAAAATCTCATTTATAAATCGTAAAATTAAAAAAGAAATTCAATTCCACTAGGACTCGGAAGTTTCAAACTCTTACCTTAAATGTACATACTACTTGAATTGTGCGCAGAGTATGGAGTAAATCCAGCATAGAGGGAAACATTTTATGTAAGGGATAAATTAATGAAGACCTTGCATAAATCAAAACTTGCATAATTCATGACTAATTTTTTCATTGGGATAAATATAAAGTGTGAGGATGCTGGCACATAAATCTGCAATCATTGTAGCATATTTGGCTTTAATGCAGTCTTTTATTTCCTCAGTGTTATGTGTAATATTTCATAAAGTGCTTTCTCTGAAATTAACAGCACAGTGTATTGTAACTCATATTTGTCTCAATAGTGTTTTATCAATCTACCTCCCTTTTCAGTTGTTGGTTTTCAGGCATATTTTCAGAACTACAACCAGCATCAGTGCCACCAATTAATGAATACGTGTATGATATTATTTTCTAATTACAAGAAGAGTCAGTTATACTAGCAATGAATTCCAGATAAAAACACAATAGTAACCAACATTATTTGCAGAAGTTCCTCTTCTAACAAAGCATTGTGGGTCTGTCCATCTACAGTGTTGAAGTGGGGCCCGTATGAAGCAAAAGGTGAACATAGCTGCCATTTCAAACTGCCATTTTAGCTTTGAAATTACACAATTCTTGATATTTAAAGTTTGCAGTATTTTATTTGTTCATAAGGTGAAATATTGCTATTTCATTGACTTTCATATATTCATAAAATGTGGCTAGAGAGAATCTGAAATAAGAACAAAGGAAATGTAACCTTACAGAGTGGCTCACACCTTTAATTAGTGAATCTGATCAGCAGCAGACTGTATCTATTATGCCTGCAGGCTCTGATACCCTAGGTGTTATCTGCATTGGTATTAAAGAATATAAACCAACAGATGGCCACAATTTTATGATAGAAGAAACAGTCTCTGACCCTATTTCACAGGGGCTCTGGAGAACATTAGTGCTTAGAATTCTGAAAATCTAGAACTCATGCACCTGTACAAAGACAGCTGAAATACTGCCATCAGGGCAGGATAACTATTATGACAGGGCTCAGCAGAGAAAAGAGGAGGAAGATTGATAAAAGAAGAAAGAAACATGCTTGAAAATGCATAATTAGAGCTTCCCAATAGTGTATCTAAAACATCTGTCTGGCCAAGGCAAACTAAAAAACTTAAGTATTGCAGGATTGTATCAATATCAACTTCCTGGTTATGATATAGTTCTACAGATATGCGATCTGTTATCTTACCATTGAGGCAAACTGGATGAAAGGCATGAGAGATCTCTCTGTATACGTCCTTACAACTGCATTTGAATCTACAATTATCTCAAAATAGAGAGAAAAAATAGGTTTCAAGGAGGAGAAGCTAATCAGTTATTTGGGTCAAGGATTTAACTACATGGATGTTTACTGCAATGCTGTTTATATCAGCAAAATATTGCATAAGCTACCTAAACGTCTAACGATAAGGAATTCATTATAAAGTGTGGCATGTATATACAAAAAAAATCATGCAGTCATTAAAATGTCATACAAAAGTATACACAATTTGGAAAAATGCTCACAATATATTTTCACAGAAACAAATTATAAAACAATATGACCTCAGATTTGTAAATAATAAGTGTATATTTTACTTTTACATACAGAAAGGACTGAAAGGATACAAATCCATAATGTTAGTCACAGATGATTAGGTTAGGGATGATTTTTTCTTTCTTCTGATTTGTATTTGCTAGAATTTCTCCCAGGAACACAACTTTGCTTGTGTAACAGATATTAAGCCATTGTGGGATATCATGGTGAGCAAGAGAAACACAGGCCCTGGTCTTCCTGGAGCTTCCAGGCTAAGACAGACAGACACACTGATCCAGCAATTACAGAAGAGGGTGGGAAATATTAAGCTCCCCTGAAGCAGTATCCTCAGCTCTGAGAACCCTTGCCCTGGACTCAGTCTCCTTCAGAAACCAGGTTTCAGTCTATACAACCCACTCTCTCAGTGACCAAACCATGATTCTTGACTTTCAACTCAGGATCCCATCTCTGTAGCACTGTTTCTGATATTAGCTACAGCCCTGCTCTTAGAAGGAAATGGAGACTGGCATTTGTAACTTATCTACAGAGGGCCAGACAGTGTCATGGGCTTTGCTTACACAGCATCATGGAGCCCTGTCACAGCCATGGAGAGTATTTTTTATTGTCAGCAGTTTACAGAATGAAACAGGAGCACAGAGTGATTAAATGGTTTGCCCACAGACACACAGCTAATATAAGGACCACCATTCAAACCCACATCTGACTCCAAGGTTCCTGCTCTTTTCCACACATACCAGGCTGCTCTCCCCATTTACCTGTCAGAACTTCCAGCAGAGCTGACTCTGCATGTTTCCATCCACTGCCTCACCCTTTGTGTTTGACCACATTTATACTTTCTGGGATATCAGATCCCTGATCTAAAGATTAAACCCTCTGGAAACAACTCCAAAGGTTGGATATGGAACCCAAGAAAAAGGGTTTAACCTAATTGGCTGATGAAACAGCTGGAGATATTGGAGGTGGGGAGACCTCAGACCCAAGGTCAGGAGGCAGCCCCCTCCCCACTCCTTCCAGCTGCTCCCAAGGTTACATGCACCAAACAGCATCATGTGAATCCCTTCCTCCTCTCAGGAAAACAACTTCAATTACTCTTGCTTTCCCTCACATTGCTCACATAAAGATTCCTTTTTACTACTTAGGATTCAAGAGGTTTTTGCCAGAGTGGACTTTGCAAACCTGTCTGGGAAGAATCGTGCTTACCTGTCCCTGCCTGATCTTTTCACCTCCTTATACTCACTACCAGTCTTGATAAATACTCAGCAAATCTGCCCTGTATAAAAGTCCAGAAGCCAGTAAGTCAAGCTATATTGAATCCACAAAAATTAATTCAATAGATCAAAGTGCAGAGCAGTATATAGAGTATAATTCTATTTAGTTAAAATTTTTTCAAAGTATATGTGTGTTTTTCTTTTAAAAACTTGTGAAAATTTTCAAATATCACAAAATAGACAGAATAATATACTGAACCCCCTCATACTTTGAGTGATGCTGAGATTGACTAATCAGTGAGTTCAGGTGTTGTCAGACTGATCCATCCCACATAAAGTTCTACACTCAATGGTGTTAGCACCCATTGATGAACATGGCCTAGGATCCATTTATTTGTGACTTTCTAAGCCCTTCTTCATAACTGAAATTGTTCTATAAGGAAATTTCCTTCATTAACATTTCATTAACTTCAAATACAGTGCACACAGGGAAGGCAGAATAAATGATGGATTATTTTACATTTATCACTTTACTGTTTTGAGAATAATAAATTGGCACCCTAGCAACTTTCAGTAGTGACCAATGAGGGTTTTTAAAATTTTATTGAGTGTAATTGCCCATGGAGTTTTAAAATATTTTATGTATTAATTACAGTCTTACAGTCATTCTTTAGGTTGTATATTATAAATATACATACATACCATGTCTTTCATATATATGTAGATATGAATAAACTTTGTTTTAATCCCACATCAATTCCTCTCCCCCAAGTTATTTTGTAGAATCCTTACAATAAAGTTCTTAACTTCTTATCACTAAGAGTTAACATGGGTGGGTCTGTTTCTTAAAATCATGAACAAACATGAACCTGAAAGAGCCAATACTTCAAGATAAATCCCAGGTGGCTATCTGGGCCTAATTTTTTTATTTTCATTTTTTCCCACAGGTTATTGCGGAACAGGTGGTGTTTGGTTATGTAAGTTCTTTGGTGGTAATTTATGAGATTTTGGTGCACCTATCACCCGAGCAGTACACACTGCACCCAATCTGTGGTCTTTTATCCCTCGCCCCCTTTGCTCCCTTTCCCCCTGAATTCCCGAAGTCCATTGTATCTTTCTTATTCTTTTGCATCATCATAGCTTAGCTCCCACATATGAGAACCTACAATGTTCGGTTTACCATTCCTGAGTTATTTCACTTAGAATAAGTCTCCAATCTCACCCAGGTCGCTACGAATGCCATTAATTTAATTCCTTTTTATGGCTGAGTAGCATTCCACTGCATATATACACCACAGTCTTTATTCACTCATTGATTGATGGGCATTTGGGTTGGTTCCATGTTTTTGCAGTTGCAAATTATGCTGCTGTAAACATGCGTGTGCAAGTATCTTTTTCATATAGTGACTTCTTTTCCTCTGGGTAGATACCCAGTTGTGGGATTGTTGGATCAAATGGTAGTTCTACTTTTAGTTCTTTAAGGAGACTCCACACTGTTTTCCATAGTGGTTGTACTAGTTCACCTTCCCACCAGCAGTGTAGAAGTGTTCCCTCTTCACCGCATCCATGCCAACATCTATTTTTAAAATTTTTGATTACGGTTATTCTTGCAGGAGTAAGGTGGTATGGTATTGTGGTTTTCATTTGCAAATGAAAACCCTAATCATTAGTAATGTTGAGCATTTTTTCATATGTTTGTTGGCCATTTGTATATCCTCTATTTGCAATTATCTATTCACGTCCTTAGCCCACTTTTTGATGGGATTGTTTTTTCTTGCTAATTTGTTTGACTTCATTGTAGATTTGGGATATTAGTGCTTTGTCAGATGTATAGATTGTGAAGATCTTCTCCCCCTCTGTGGGTTTTCTGTTTACTCTGCTGACTGTTCCTTTTGCTGTGCAAAAGCTTTTTAGTTTAATTAAGTCCCAGCTATTTATCTTTTGTTTTCACTGCATTTGCTTTTGGATTCCTAGTCATGAAATCCCTGCCTAAGCCAGTGTCTAGAAGGGTTTTTCCAATGTTATCTTCTAGAATTTTAACAGTTTCAGGTCTTAAAGTCCTTTATCCATCTTAGAGTTGATTCTTGTATAAGGTGAGAGATGAGGATCTAGTTTCATTCTCCTAGATGTGGATCTAGTTTCATTCTCCTACATGTGGCTAGCCAATTATCCCAGCACTATTTGTTGAAAAGGGTGTCCTTTTCCCACTTTATGTTTTTGTTTGCTTTGTCAAAGATCAGTTGGCTGTTAAGTATTAGGGTTTCTGTTCCATTGTCTATGTGCCCATTTTTATGTGAGTACCATGCTGTTTTGGTGACTACGGCCTTATAGTATAGTTTGAAATCAGGTAGTGTGATGCCTCCAGATTTGTTCTTTTTCCTTAGTCTTGCTCTGGCTATGTGGGCTCCTTTTTGGTTCCTTATGAATTTTAGAATTGTTTTTTCTAATTCTGTGAAAAATGATGGTGCTATTTTGACAGGAATTGTGTTGAATTTGTAGATTGTTTTTGGCAATACGGTCATTTTCACAATATTGATTCTACCTATCCATGAGCATGGGATGTATTTCCATTTGTTTGTGTCATCTATGATTTCTTTCAACAGTGTTTTGTAGTTTTCCTTGCAGAGTTCTTTCACCTCCTTGGTTAGATATATTCCTAAGTATTTTATTTTTTTTGCAGCTATTATAAAAGGGGTTGAGATCTTGATTTGACTCTCAGCTTGGTCACTGTCGGTATATAGAAAAGCTACTGATGTGTGTACATTGATTTTGTATCTGGAAACATAGCTGAATTCTTTTATCAGGTCTAGGAGCTTTCTGGAGGAGTGTTTAGGGTTTTCTAGGTAAATGATCATGTCATTAGCAAACAGTGATGGTTTGACTTCCTCTTTATGAATTTGGCTGCCCTTTCTTTCTCTCATCTGATTGCTCTGGCTAGGACCCCAGTACTATGTTGAAGAGGACTGGTGAGAGTGGGTATCCTTATCTTGTTCCAGTTCTCAGAGCGAATGCTTTCAACTCTTCCCCATTCAGTAGTATGTTGGCTGTGGGTTTGTCATAGGTGGGTTTTATTACATTGAGATATGTCCCTTGTATGCCAATTTTGCTGAGAGTTTTAATCATAAAGGGATGCTGGCTTTTCTCTGCTTTTTCTGCATCTATTGAGATGACTATGTGATTTTTGTTTTTAATTCTGTTTATGTGGTGTGTCACGTTTATTGACTTGCGTTATCTTAAACCATCCCTGCATCCCTGGTAAGAAACTCACTTGATCATGGTGAATTATCTTTTGATATTTTGAATTTGGTTAGCTAGTATTTTGTTAAGGATTTTAGCATCTTTGTTCATCAGGGATGTTAGTCTGTAGTTTTCTTTTTTGGTTATATCCCTTCCTGGTTTTGGTATTACGGTGATACTGGTTTCATAGAATGATTTAGGGAGGGTTTCCTCTTTATCTTGTGGAATAGTTTCAATAGGATTGGTACCAATTATTCTTTGAATGTCTGGTAGAATTCTGTTGTGAATCTGTCTGGTCCTGGACTTTTTTGTTGGTAATTGTTGTATTACTCTTTCACCTGTGCTGCTTGTCATTGGTCTGTTCAGAGTATCTAATTTTTCTTGATTTAAGCTAGGAAGGTAGTATCTTTCCAGGAATTTATCCATCTCCTCTAGGTTTTCTAGTTTATGTGCATAAAGGTGTTCATAGTAGCCTTGAATGATCTTTTGTGCTTCTGTGGTGTCAGTTGTAATATCTCCCATTTTGTTTCTAACTGAGCTTGAATTTTCTCTCTTCTTTTCTTGGTTAATCTTGCTAATGGCCTATCAATTTTATTTATGTTTTCAAAGAACCAGCTTTTTGTTTTATTTATCTTTTGTATTTTTTTATTTCAATTTCATTTAGTTCTGCTCTGATCTTGATTATTTCCTTTCTTTTGCTGGGTTTGGATTTTGTTTGTTCTTGTTTCTCTAGTTCCTTGAGGTGTGACCTTAGATTGTCTGTCTGTGCTCTTTCAGACTTTTTGATGTAGGTGTTCAGGGCTATGAACTTTCCTCTTAGCACCACTTTTGCTGCATCCCAGAGGTTTTAATAGGTTGTGTCACAATTGTTATTCAGTTTGAAGATTTTTAAAATTTCCATCTTGATTTCATTTTTGACCCAATGATCATTCTGGAGTAGGTTATTTAATTTCCATCATTTTCATGGTTTTGAAGGTTCCTTTTGGAGTTGATTTCCAGTTTTATTCCACTGTAACCTGAGAAAGTACTTGATATCATTTCAATTTTCTTGAATTTATTGAGGTTTTGTGGCCTATCATATGATCTATCTCAGAGAAAGTTCTATGTGCTGTTGAATAGAATGTATATTCTGCAGTTGTTGGGTAGAATGTTCTGTAAATATCTGTTAAGTCCATTTGTTCCAGGGTATAGTTTAAACCCATTGTTTCTTTGACTGTCTTGATGACCTGTCTAGTGCTGTCAGTGGAGTATTGAAGTCCCCCACTATTAACGTATTGCTATCTCATTTCTTAGGTCTATTAGTAATTGTTTTATAAATTTGGGAGCTCCAGAGTTAGGTGCATATATATTTAGGATTGTGATATTTTCCTGTTGGACAAGGCCTTTTATCATTATATAATGATGCTGTTTGTCTTTTTTTAACTGCAGTTGCTTTAAAGTTTGTTTTGCCTCATAAGAATAGCTACTATTGTTGCTTTTGGTCTCCATTTGCATAGAATGTCTCCTTCCATCCCTTTACCTTAAGTTTATGTGACTCCTTATGTGTTAGGTGTGCCTCTTGAAGGCAGCAGATAGTTGGTTGGTGAATTCTTATCCATTCTGCAATTCTGGTATCTTTTAAGTAAAGCATTTAGGTAATTTACATTCAATGTTAGTATTGAGATGTGAGGTACCATTGCATTCATCCTATTTGGTGACTATATACCTTGGTTTTTGGGGGGCTTTTTTATTGTATTTTTGTTTTGTAGGTCCTGTGAGATTTATGCTTTAAACAGGTTCTGTTTTGATGTGTTTCCAGGATTTGTTTCAAGATTTAGAGCTCCCTTTAGCAATTCTTCTCATGATGGATTGGTAGTGGCAAACTTTCTCAGCATTTGTCTGAAAAAGACTATCTTTCCTTCACTTATGAAATTCGTTTCACTGGGTACAAAATTCTTGGCTAATTGTTTTGTTTAAGGAGGCTGAAAATAGGGCCCCAATCCCTTCTAGCTTGTAGGGTTTCTGCTGAGAAATCTGCTGTTAACCTGATAGGTTTTCCTTTATAGGTTTCCTGGTGTTTTTGCCTCATAACTCTTAAGATTCTTTCCTTCTTCTTAACTTTAGAAAACCTGATGGCCATGTGCCTAGGCAATGACCTTTTTGTGATGAATTTTCCAGGTGTTCCTCTAGTGTCTTGTATTCGGATGTCTAGTTCTCTTTCAAGGCCAGGGAAGTTTTCCTCGAATATTCCCCCAAATATATTTCCCAAACTGTTAGATTTCTCTTTAAGAATGCTGATTATTCTCAGGTTTGGTCATTTAACATAATCTCAGACTTCTTGGAGGCTTTGTTCGTATTTTCTTATCCTTTTTTGTCTTTGTTGGATTCGGTTAATTCAAAAACCTTGTCTTTGAGCTCTGAAGTTCTTCTGCTTGTTTGATTCTATTACTGAGACTTTCCAGAGCATTTTGCATTTCTATAAGTGCATCCATTGTTTCCTGAAGTTTTCATTATTTATGCTATTTCATTGAATATTCCTCCCTTCACTTCTTATATCATTTTTTTTTAATTTCCTTACATTGGGTTTCACCTTTCTCTGGTGCCTCCCTGATTGGCTTAATAACAAACCTTCTGAATTCTGTTTCAGTTAGATCAGGGGTTTCTTCTTGGTTTGGATCCATTGCTGGAGAGCTAGTGTGATTTTTTTGGGGATGTTAAAGAACCTTGTTTTGTCATGTTACCAGAGTTGGTTTTCTGGTTCCTTCTCATTTGGGTAGGCTATCAGGGGGACAGTCTAGGGCTCAAGGCTGTTGTTCAGTTCTTCTGTCCCATGAGGTATTTCTTTGATGTAGTACTCTCCCCCTTTTCCTAGGGATGTGGCTACCTGAGAGCTGAACTGTCTAGCTGTCGTGGTTGTTAATCTCTTTTCTGGATCTAGCCACCCAGCAAATCTACCAGGCTCCAGACTGGTACTGGAGGTTGTCTGCACAGAGTCCTGTGATGTGAACCATCTGTGGGTCTCTCAGTCTTGGATACTGGCACCCACTCCAATGGAGGTGGCAGGGGTGTGAAATGGACTCTGTGAGGGTCCTTAGCTTTGGTTGATTAATGCACTATTTTCGTGCTGGTTGGCCTTCTGCCAGGGAGGTGGCTCTTTCAAGACAGCATCAGCTGTGGTAGTATGGGGAGGAAGAGGCAGTGGGCAGGGCCCTAGAACTTCTAAAAGTATATGCCCTTTGTCTTCAGCTACCAGGGTGGGTAGGGAAGGACCATTAGGTGGGGGCAGGGCTAGGCATGTCTGAGCTCAGACTCTCCTTGAGCAGGTCTTGCTGCAGCTGCCGTGGGGGATGGGAGTGAGGTTCCCAGGTTAATGGAGTTAAGTTCCTAGGAGGATTATGGCTGCCTCTGCTGAGTCATCCAGGTTTTCAGGGAAGTGGGGGAAAGCCGGCAGTCACAGGCCTCACCCAGCTGTCATGCAAACCAAAGGGCCGGTCTCACTCTCACCGAGCCCCGCCAAAAGCCCCAAGTCTGTTTCCAGGTGGAGGGCGAGCGGGCTTGAGAACTTGCCTAGGCTACCCGCCTTCCAGCTGCGAAAGAAAAGGACTTGGTTTGTCCCCTGCCTGTGGAGTCTGCACACCGGATTCGTGCCCTCCTCCGAGTGTTAATGCTTCCTGCCACCTCACTAACTCAGATCAAGTGACAACTTTTGTTGGTCATTTTCTAGCAGGAAAAAAGATTCTCCAAAATTTTCTGCCCTGATCTAATTTCTTAAAAAGTCTTTCATAATGTTTTCTCTAAATTTTAAATATAATCATAATTAAGTACAAGTTTTGCAATACATATCTAATGAGAAGATTAGAATTCTTCTTGGAGGATAACATTTTGCTTTATTGGGGTCCAAAGTCTTCCCTATTACTAAGGCAAAAATGTAGCCTATAAATGAATGATCCAGACAAAGCTTCCCTTGGGTTTCAGAATGATACAGCTAGAGGGGACTTTATAGAGCAAATATTTTAACCCTCTTTTACTGATGAAGAAAATGAAGCCTGGATTCCCAAAAACATCTGCTCTCATTTCAGTGTCTCCCAGCCATGTAGGGAAGAGAACATAAGTCTTGAGACGTGTGGTTCCATTGTGCCTCTTCTTAGAAGGCTTAATGATGCACTAAGACTTTAGAATCAGCAACTCTGCATAGCAGCAATTTGAGTGCTGCAACCAACCAAACGACGACTCACTTTTGTAAACTGGTCTGAACCAAATTCCTGAACTTCCAGGCATTGCCCACATCCTGCCTCCCGATGATCTTGCCCACCTCAGTGAACTGCCACCCCGCCCCTCCAGTTGCTCAGGCCAGGAATCTGCCTCATCCTTCACTTTCTTTCAGACACCCTGCATTCAGCAAATCCTCCTAGCTCTACCTGTAAAATGTATTGAGAATCTGCCCTCCTCTTCACTACCTTCACCTCTGTGACCTAGGTCCCAGCCACTTCTAGGATATTGCAACAGCTTCCTAAAGGGTCTTCCTGCCTCACCACTGTCCCTGGAGAGTGCAGTTTCCATCCATCATCCAAATGATCCTTTTAAAATTATGTCTCTTACATCTTAGATCAAAAGTTGGCAATGATTGGTCATCTCAGAGTAAAAGCTGACCACCTTGCTGTAGCCACCCAGGCCCCTTATTACCTCCCCAACCTCATCTCCTACCATGCTCTTCCCGCTCAGACATTCCAAATATTCTCCTGTCTCAGGGCCTTTGCACTTACTGTTCCATCTGGAACACTTTACTCCCAGACACCCGCATGGTTCATCCCTTTTCTCCTCTAGGTCTGTGCTCAAATGTCACCACCACTCTCCTGTCCATTCCCACTCCACACACAATAACGCCTATCCTCCTTTTAGGCTTTTTCTCCATAGTAATTACCACATCTATAATACTATATAACTTATTTATTCATTTATTTTTTTTCCATTAAAATGTAAGCTCTGTGAAGGCATGGATTTGGGTCTTTGTTTCCACGGCTAGAAACCAGATCTGGCACATCACATGCCCTCACTAAGTATGTGTTGAAAAAATGTAAAATATTATGGTGGGCAACACTATGTCTCCCTCAATCCCCACATCCCAAATATACTGGTGCTACTTTTAAACCTCACCTCTAAAGCCCCACGGCCAATAGATGATGAAATATCACATTATACTCTGCTAACTTGTCCTTATCAACAGGTGTTTGAATGTGGTTTGAGAACAATTTTTAATAAACTATTTCATCCTTTAATAGATACAGTGAACAAATGCAAAGTGTCATAACACATCAGACTTTTATTTGCATTGAAAAATCAAATTGGCAGCTGTGCAATAATAAAAACTTAAGATTATGAGTTGCACAAGGAACAAATAAAGCCTGATCAGTTGGGTTCAGAATTCTCTTGCCTTTCAATACCAGCTATCCATTCCCACACTAATAGTTCTTCCAGACTGTGCTCCTAGAATAGGAAATATTACCCCCAGCCATCTACATTGCCTTAAGAAACCACCCATCATAATCTGCAAAGCCTCTGGTTTTAGACTACTTTGCTCTTCTCTTACCCTGGCTCAATAATTCTTAACCAGAGATGAAATATCAGTTGACTGAGAAGCCCACACATAGTACATATTGCTGGCCCCCATCCTGAGAGATTCTGATTCATGGGCCTAGAGGGGGAGTAGGGGAGAGCAGATATGTAACAGCTGTATTTTAGCAAAACTCCCTGGTGATTTTGAGATGTTCCTCTGGTTCAGAACCACTGTTCTAGTTGATATGTATGCTAAATATCATTGCTATGTGAGTCATTTTAATTGATGAGGGGGAGGACCTAGGAGGAACCCTCAATACTCAAGGACAGAGGAGCCACAAGTTTTCCAAAACTCACATCTCCCAATTGAAAAAAGACACAGGGGCCAGCTGACCTTAACTGGAATAATTCCCTGGTCCACATGGTGATAGGAAGAATGGGATTTCTGCAATTTACTTAAGCCTTAGCATAACTTTTTTTTTTTTTTAAGACAGTCTTGCTCTGTCACCCAGGCTGGAGTGCAGTGGCATGATCTCGACTCACTGCAAGCTCCACCTCCAGGGTTCACGCCATTCTCCTGCCTCAGCCTCCCGAGTAGCTGGGACTACAGGCGCCCACCACCACGCCTGACTAATTTTTTTGTACTTTTAGTAGAGACAGGGTTTCACCGTGTTGGCCAGGATGGTCTCGATCTCCTGACCTCGTGATCCGCCCGCCTCAGCCTCCCAAAGTGCTGGGATTACAAGCGTGAGCCACCACGCCTGGCCAGCATAACATTTTTAACTAGGTAGAAAATGTCCATTTCCTTTCTCCCAAGACTTCTGCCACACTTTGTGATAATAAAATCTACCAGTCCTCTACAATCCAAGTCAGCCTTTGTCTTTCTCCTTAGTTATCCCAGTTCCCAAAAAGTAGGAGGCACAGTTCCTGAAAAGAGGGTTCTGATGTGGGATGTGCGAGTGAGGAATATTTAACTAGGGCAGTACACAGCAGCAAGAATCGGAGAGCTACACAGTCCATGGGGTCAGGGGGGGCTTCCTAGAAGTGACATTTTAACCTGTACTTGATGGATATGGAGGAGTTAGCCAAGGAATGAGGAGCAGAAAGGAATGTTGCAGGCACATGACGCAGCATGTGAAAAAAAAAACAGGAATAAATCCAGTCTGGATGGGGCAGAGACTTTAAGGAGAGCAGAAGAGAATATAAGGGCCCGATCATCACAGGCCTTCCAATCCATGCTAAGGAAACTGGACTTTATTTTAATGTTGAAGAGAAGCCACTGGAGGGTTTTTGAATGAGGGAGGGACTTAAGCTTTGCATTTTAGGAAAAGGCAGTCTAGCTGTCCTGGGTAGCAATGATTACAAAGGAGCAAGGCTGCATGCAAGGAGACTGGGTAGGAGGATGCCACTGCATTTATTCAAGTGAGAAGAGGTTTAGAATCACTTCTTTTGCTGCTTCCCCACTATAATATGAGAGACAGCATCAGAATCACTGAAACCAGAATGATTGAAGGTTTGAGGACCTGAAAGTTCTTTTTATCCTTCATACAGCAATATTTTTTAAAGTTTATTTAGCACCTATTATCTTTTATATCTATATTGTTCAATACAGTAGCCACTAGCCACATGTGATGATTGAGCACTTGAAAGGTGGCTAGCCTTATTTGAGCATGCTTTAAATGTAAAATTCATACCAAATTTTGGAAACTTAGAAAAATGTAAAATATCTCAATAATTTGAATATTGATTACACATAAAAATGATAGTATTTTGAATATATTGGGCTAAATAAAATATATTAAAGTTGATTCCACCTGTTCTTTCACTGTTTGAAATGTGGCTACTAGAAAATTCTAAATTGCATATGTGACTCCTACCTATGGTTGGATTCTATGTCTATTGGGCAGAGCTGTTCTAGGTACTGTGCTCAGCACTGAGAATACAGCAGAGAGCAAAACAAAGCCCCTGCTCTTATAAGAGCTTAATTCCCAGTGGAACATAATCCCAAATCAATCTAAAAAAATCTAAATAGGCCCATTATTTATTATCTATATAATCACCCACTTATAACCATCATACAACATTGTACCCAAGTTTGTATCACAATCACATTGGCACCAAGGAGTTCTTCAGAGATCGACATAACTCATCAATAACATTTTTGCATATGATGGGAGCCAAAGGACTTCACAGACAAACAAAGGTCTTGCAGTAGAAAACTGTACAAGGTTAACCGAGTCATCCTATCACATGTGAAGTGGAGGTCCTGCATCCAAAGAGCCTGTAGTGCCAACGCCATCGATGTATTGCAAGGTGTGGCTGTTTCAGCAAAGCAACAGCATCTATCACATTAAATCAGTACTACTAACTTGAATTTTATTGTTATTGTCATTTGCATATGTTTTTGTTAAATTTAGTTTTATAATTCATAAAGATAAAGATTTATAATTAATGTTTCGTTTGAGCCTTAAGTAGTAATACTATAATAAGAATAAATTTTATACTGGAGATATGCTGTAATATTTTTCCCTTAGAAGGGATCCTTATATTACTCAAGTTTTAGAAATCTTGCCCTGGGGATCATGGTGTTCATCCTATCCACTGAACCACCTCTACCCTCCACCATTCCCACTCCACAACTCAAGGCTTCCCAGTAGCTCACAGCTTGCCACTTGTCAGCAGCACTTGACGGCCCACTGAACAACTGGCCTCTCTCTTCTGTCCTAGAAGAAGGTCCATGATAATTCAGGGGCCTATCTTCAAGCCAACAATGGTTCTCAGGGAGAAGAACATACACCCAGGAGTGACATACAGAACATTCAAGGACTGGTATGCTGCAGGCACTGCCCAGTCACAATGGATGCCACCTATAAGGAACAAGTTCAGCTGTGCCACTGTGTTCCAGCTGACCACCTCCCTGCATGCCCCCACCCCCACCCTCATCCCACCCTGGACCTTGTTTCTCAGACAAGGGAGGGCTCCCAGGAGCCCCCAGTTGTCTTGCCTGACACCAGACACCTCAATTGTCTGAAGGGCTGCCTTGGAGTATTCGTCTCTCTGTATCACTCCCATTTATGATTCCTAGGCCTGCATAATGGAGTGGGGTAGAGGGGCATAAATCCTGCTAGGTTGAAAGACAGCAGAGCATAATGGTTAAAATTATATACTTTGCAACCAGTCAGCCTGGGTTTGGGTCTTAGCTCCCGTAACAGGCTGGCATGGCCTTGGGCAGGTTCTCTGTACCTCCATTTCCTCTTCTGTGAAATGAGCATAATACTGAATCTTCAGTTGAGTTTATGAGGATAATTAAAATATTGTCCAGAATGCTTTTGGGACAATACTTAGCACTTTTTAACAGTTACTATTATTGGGAAGTTCAAGGATGTCTTTCTCTCCCACAATGGAAATAAAATGTGGAATTAAAATAGTCTAAATCCTGCAGTAACCCTGTCTCCCCTGACTTTAGATTTGTATCTCCTGCTGCCTTTCATTAGGGAGGACTTCATCTCTAACGTTGGAGTTAGTCCACACAGCCTTCCCTTCCCTCACTTATAACCACCGTGGGTTTCTTGGCAGAAAAATAGACTTGGGGGCCCCTATAGGGAAAGATGCATTTGGCAGAGAAATAAGAGAATTGCTTTGGTGCAAACCAATATGTCACCTGCAAATCCACACATTTGCGGTCTTATCAATGGAACTCCAGAATTCCACAGCTCAGTTTCTAAGGAAAGAGTGTCATACCTAGGTGTTTCTAGGTATGAAATGTTTGGGACCCCTGCTGACTTCAGCCATTTTCAGACATCATATTCCTGGAAGGCGGGAGTTGGATATCACACCTAAGGCACCCAAAGCATTGAGCAGAACAGATTTTACCTCCTGGTGTGTCATGTTCAGAATCCAGAATCACTGACTCAAAATACTAAGGAAGTGTGGTCCTCTAAAGCAGTAGCTCTCACATTTTCATGGGTATTCAAAATCACCCAGGGAACCAAACAAAAATATGAAAGACCCAGTCCATATCCTACTTCAGTGAACCCAGGCCTTCATGCACTTTACCAGTTCAAGTGTTTCCTGGTAGGCACCAAAATGTGAGAACCAGTGGTTCTAAAGCAAAGAAACCTCAACAGCCCCTACCATGCTATACTCTAACACTTTGCAAATGTCTTCCCTGAATACCCCTTAATCCCAAGTCTTCCTTTCTATACTTTAATAAAATTAATAAAGACATAAAAGTACTAACCATGTTTAAGTAATGCTGTCTATGCACACAGTGGCATTTTGAAAAGGTATTTGCATAAGTTTATTTTAGACTTGGGGATTCTTACAGCTTTTATGTTGTCTCACCATTGCTGATAGAATACTTTAAAATTATGATGTGAAGACATTTAATTAATTTTTAATTGAAATGACTCCAGGAAGAAAATTATAAATAGCACATTTGTCTTCACTGTTTTCATTATAAGGCACAGAAAGTGATGGATGAACAAAAAACACAGCAAAACTCTCACACAGAGAGTGTAGTCACCAAAAACAGAAATATAAGACTTTCTGGAGTAATGGTCCAGTTCAATCATTCCCAACAAGTGAGTCCAGAATTCTAGAGATGAATCACCTGGATTCTAGTAAGCATCTTTTAAATATCAGAAATGACCAAAAGAACACCCTTTCAGACACTATGACTGATTTGATCTAAAAAGGTTCCAACTCAATGGAAGGCAATATTCTGACATTTTGTTCTTTGCCTTGGAGTGCAAACTTTTACCACAGCACAGTGTTGTGGAAGGTTGTGTGGTGCCCAGGAGGCAAGACTGTATAGAGCAGGAAGTAGAGAACCCGCGCCCAGTAGGCTTGGTTTGGAATACTGGCCCCACCATGAATTTGCCACCATGTTATTCTGGCTATTCAGCAACCAAATCTAGAAGTTGCCCTGCATTCCTCTCATCCTCTCACACTCCACAACCAATCCAACAACAAATCACATTAGCTGTACCGTGAAAATATATCCAGCATCCAATTATTTTTACACTCCACTACCATCAAGATTCTTGCTACCATCATCCCTCACCTGGATGATTATACAATAGCTTCCAAATGATTCTCCCTGCTATTAAAAATAAGTCAGATCATGGTGTGCTTCTGCTCACAGATGTTCATTTTACTCAGTTAAAGCCCAAGCCCCTACCCTGACCGACGGAGCCCTGTGGGTTCTCCAGCTCAACCCACACATCTCCTCCTTCCTCCCTGCACTCCAGCCTCAGGGCCTGTTTGCCACTCCTCAAGCCCACCACTCTCATCCAGGGGCTCAGCACTTGCTGTTCACTCTTTTTGGAATTCCCCAGCCCCTATAGCTACATGGCTCACTTCCTGTCCTCCTCCAGTGACACTTCAAATGTCACTTTCTGAGTGATGTTTGTGGACTTTATACCTACTACAGTTACGTATATAGAGAAAATATCTGCAAGATATATAAGAAACTATCAACAGAAAACTCTAGAAGTTGGATCAGTTTGGGGACAGAGTAAGGGAAAAGACTTATTTTATACTCTTCAGTATACTTTGATATTTTTATAATAAAGTAATTAATAATAAGACTATGAAAATGCTAAGTGAGGAGGTACTCAGTCTAGTTCACAGAAACTTCGGTAACTCTAACAGTTCACGAGTATTATAGCTCATAAGGCTTATGTGTTTAATGCAATTTTTATAGGCTAGTCTGGCAAGGAATCTAGACATGGTGTATATTGTTTTCTTGAGGAAGAAAACCATTGCCTGCTCCAGCCTATTACGAGTGCCTTTGTCCTTCTCTTCCCTTCTGCTGCCTCTGCTTCTCTCCTCCCTGCCTTGTTGCTACTTACCTGAGTCACCTCAGGTGGTTCCTTCAAAACTTCAGCCAAGCCCCAGAAGTCTAGCTCCAGCCAGGTGTGTGGTGAGACAGCAATACAATGGCTCGAGGATCTTTCACCTTCCTCAAGGCATGAGACATAGACTAGCCAACTGCTCACATGTATGGGGCATTTGTGAGCCTGGTGTTCCCAAGTCCCAGCCTGGCAACCTGTGAGTGTCAGCAAGAGAGATGCCCTCTTTCTAGAAGGCAATGTTCTCAGCTTTGTGGTTAAAAAGTCCCATTGAGCAGCCCACAAACACTGGAGGCCAGGTACCCATCCTTCGGGTTTCAATGCAAAGCCAGAATTTACAGGGATATTCAAGGTTAGAACTGCAATTTTTCTTTCAGAAATTAATGTATAATTGAAGGCAGAAATGTGTAACAGAGCACTAAACTAGGACTGAGGAAACCTGGGTTCCCCCACTGACTGGCATATTGATTAAGTCACCTCATCTTGAATATAGGGAGTCGACGGGGTGATGGCTGATGAGGCCTTCAACCCTAATAACTGCTTTATCATCACTGTAATCCGTTGAGTTCTTACCATGTGTCAGATCCTTCATAGTTGTCACATAAGTTCCCTTATGAAGCCTTCATTATCACAAGAATCTAGCAAGGTAGGTATTCCAGAAGAAAACTCATCCCCAGGAATAGTTTTAAAACTTGATTAAGGTGATATTTGGCTGCTTGGCGGGTCTGGGACTCAAACCTATGCTTGTTCAATTTTCCTGCCCTGCCTCCTCTCTACATAGTATCCCTTGCACAGACAGCAGTCTGGAATCCTCACACTGCACAAGTCCCTGCCTACCAGGAGGCAACTCTCTGGGGCTGAATGGCATTTGTTCACTCATTCAACTGTTATCTATGCCTCAGTTGTTGAACACTGTCTAACAATGTCCCTCAATGAGTTTGGCCCTGCAGGTGCCATGTGAATCACTCTGGCCACTGCTAAAGGCTAGTGTCATAGCCTGCTCAGGTGGTTCACAAAGTTCAAAAGAGATAGCAGTTATTATTGGAATGGTAGTGCTTGGAGAGGGAGAGGAGTTAGGGCACAAGCCCTGCTCATCTGAACCCAGTGAGAGCTTCACAGAGTTCAGCCCCTGCATGCATTGGGTTCAGATGTCCCACAAGGAAACTGAGGGGGAAACAGTGTGCTGCACAATGTTCTTAGAGTCACAGGGGAAACCAAGCAAGAGAATGTAAGTGACATGACTCAAACCCCTCACCTCTATAAGGAAAAGCAACTTCAATGTCTTACATTGTCTGTAGATTCAGATCTCCTCAATCTGAGGCCAGACTGCTTCCACTGGCATCCAGGCATGGGACTTTAGGAAGGAACAGTTCCAGGATTTGGAGGAAAATGTATTGTTTCGGCATGTGTGGCTCCCAGTTTGCAGCCAAGATGGTCCAGCAAAGGGGAAAGACTATAACTTGAAACAAACATAGACTTCCCTACCATTGCAGCTGGAGGCTTTGAATAAAAGTACATGCCTAGAGAACACAGGAGTGTGCCAGACAGAACCCAGCTCACGGCCAGGGCCCAATGTGCATTTTGAGGATTGTTTTCCAATGAACAGTCTGTCTTCACAGATATTGAAAAACATTCAGTTAAACACAGTGAAATGGATTTGCACGTTCATTTGATTGTGGTCGTGAATTTGTTATTACTTCAGGAATTGTCAGGGCCTTCATTTGACCATGGTACCTCTTCTGCATTGAAGATCAGTGGGAATAGAATTTCAGGGATTTCTCTCTGGGAAACATTGTGTTCCACAGCATTCCAGTTTTAAAACAAGATTTGGCATTCTTTTTTGATAAAGATCCACATTTTAGGCTTTTCAGGACATGAGACAAAATCAAGGATATAATATAGGTACCTAGCTAGACAAGAGAGAAAAAAATATTCTACAAGTTGTTAAAATTCAAAAGCATTTTTAAAATTCTATAAAATTTTTACAAATATTCAAAAATTTTAAATAATCATAATTAAGTACAAGTTTTGCAATATACATCTACTAATGGGAAGACTATAATTCTCCTTGGGGGATAACATTTTGCTTTATTGGGGTTCAAAGTTAGTATTCCCTATTACTAAGGCAAAAATGTAGCCTATAAATGAATGATCCAGACAAAGCTTCCCTTGGGTTTCAGAATGAGACAGCTAGAGGGGACTTTATAGAGCAAATATTTTAACCCTCTTTTACTGATGAAGAAAATGAAGACTGGATTCCCAAAAACACCTGCTCTCATTTCAGTGTCTCCCAACCATGTAGGGAAGAGAACACAAGTCTTGAGACGTTTGGTTCCATTGTGCCTCTTCTTAGAATGCTCACACTTCCTCTGGGAGAGCCAAACTAGGGGCATATTTATCTTCTGGAATGTAGTACATACCTTTCAGCACTTAAAAAAACAAAAAGCACATCCAGAAAAGCCTCTTTTAAGAGACCATGTTCTGTTTGTTAATAAAACAGATGGAAGTGGCACCACATGACTTTGCCCCACAAAGGCACTGTTGCTCATTATTGCCATGTTGTTCTTATTCATGCACAAGACTGTGTGTCTCCACTGGATTGTATGTACCTCGAGGACAGAGTCAGCATCTTATTCATCTTTCTGTCGTCAGCACCTGGCACATAACAAAGGTTCAATAATTGTTTAAGCTCAATAAATCTTGAATTAGATAATGACTTCTTTTGCAAAAACCCTTTCAAATCCTTCACTTTCAATAAGTGTTGGTCACATGATCACTGTGCTTAAAACTCTCCATTGGCTTATGCTGTACTTGGAATGAAATCCTCACTCCTCATTCTGGCTCAAAGGCCCTTCTTGATCTGGCCCTGTCAACCTCTCCGACCTTGTCTATTTCCACTCTTTCCCACACCAGCCACACTGGCCCATTTTCCATTCACCAGATGCACTAAGTAGACCGCTGCTCTAGTGCTTACATTTCCACATGCCTCTTCTTGTGTTTCCCTGCCCACCCCCCATCATTCTCATTTATCACTATCCACATCTTCTTATGTATTTACGTTTTCTTCTGTATACATATGTGAGCTCCATAAGAAAACATTTCTTTGCTGTCTTGTTTACCACCATTTTCCTAGCCCTTTTGTTGATGTCTGGCACATTGTAGGTAGTCAATGCTTGTTGAATAAATAAATTCCTCCAGGATTACTCGGCCTTCTTTTCACTCTACTTATTTAATACAACAAATGTTTAATAAGTAAATCAAGAATGAATTAATCTTCCTTTTGGCTTCAGGATGGGATCTTGGCCTGGATCAAAAGTTTTATTTGGCTAGAATGTGGGGAGAAAGACATGGTGAGAAAATCAGAAAGAACCAAAGACAAACCTGATGGTGCCATTGTGTAAATGAAAAGTTACCTGGCTCTCCAATTTGTTTTCATCTTGCTTTATGTTGCTTTAAACCAATGCCCCCAAAATTACAGCCTCTCACTGGCTGGCACATAAATTTCTGACTTTAAAACCACTTTATTTCGAGTTTGATGAATAGCTTTTGTCACTAGGTAGAGTAATTAAGGGAGCGGTGTTGGCACTCGCCAGGCTGGGCTGACATTACTTTTTTTTCAGTGTTTTGTTACCTGTCTGTCGGATTTGGCAGAGCTCATAGAAAGGCTCAGGGCTGAGTTATGCACATCGTCTCCTGGCAGGAGCTTTGTCAGGAAGATATATCACCCTCCTCTACTGAGCAGCCTCTGTTTTCCAAGAACTGTAGCAGGCACACCTGGCACAGTGGCCAAGGCCCTCTCTTCATCTCCAGTGACAGTTTGGCTACCAAGTGAAAAGGACAGATATTTCCTAGTTGAGATCTTCATATGTCTTGAGTTCCCTACTATATTCAACTTATTCTCCACAGAGGATACTTTATTAATAATTCAATATAAATTTCAAAACAAATGCTTGAGAGCATTAGAATCGCCATCTTGTAGGAGTGAGGAAAAACAGCTCAAAGCACTTTGCAAAGCACAATCTTCACGGCACATTCCAAGAAATAGAGAACGAAAGGGAATCACAGGCCATTAAAGCTAGACTTTACCTAAAGATTCAACTGTAGCATTTTATGGATGATGAAGCTGAGTCTCAGAAGTGACTTTCTCATAGTCCCACAGTTAACCAATGGTAGTATCACTATGTATATATGATCATCTCTTGGTATCCATGGGGGATTGGCTCTAGGATCCCTCACAGATACCAACATCTGAGAATTCTCTGATTTTATATGTCTCTTGTATAAAATGGTGTAGTATTTGCACATAACCTATATTTATATTATTTATAATACCTAATACAATGCTTGCATATCACTTCACATGGATTCAACATAGCACAAGGCACACAGAAAATTAAAGCTTTGCTTTTTGGAATTTTGCAGAATTTTTAAAAAGTATTTTTGATCTGAAATTGGTTGAACCCATAGGTGTGGAGCCAACAGATACTGAGGGCCAACTGTACTTACTTGTTCATTCAGTGGTATTCAGCTGGCAACTGGGCTGGTCTTGAGAGACGAAGATGACCTCACTCAAAATACAAATTGTTTCAGACAATACAAAAAGACAATAGAAAAGAGGTCAGCATAACCTCTCTATCAAAACATGACAAAGACATTTCAAGACTACAGGCCAATCTCTCTCATGAAAATATATACAAGAAAACAGCAATATAGATATAGATATTAAACGATACTACACAATTACCAAATGGGGTTTACTCTAGGACTGCGAGGTTGGTTTAACATTTGAAAATTATAATTAACCACATTAACTAGTAAGAGAAAAAAATCATGATCATCTTAATTGATTCAGAAGAAGCATTTGATAAATGTTAACAGTCATTAATAATTTAAAAAACTTTTTTAAAAAATTTAATGTTATTTTAAGTTCCAGGGTACATGTGCAAGACGCACAGGTTTGTTACATAGGTAAATGTGTGCCACTGTGGTTTGCTGCACCTATCAACCCATCACCCAGGTATTAAGGCCCACATGCATTACCTGTTTATCCTAATGTTCTCCCTCTCCCCAGACCCCTCCCCAGCCCACACGCATGCACGCGTGCACACACACACACACGCCCCAGTGTGTGTTGTTCAGCTCCCACTTATAAGTGAGAACAGCATCCCACTTATAAGTTCCTGTGTTAGTTTGCTCAGGATAATGGTTTCTAGCTCCTCCATGTCCCAGCAAAGGACATGATCTCATTCCTCTTTATGGTTGCATAGTATTCCATGGTGTTTATGTAAAAACTCTTAGCAAAGTAGAAATAGAAGGGCTCTTGTTTAATCTGGTAAAAGGTATCTTTAAAAATAATATAATTGACTTCCTACTTAACTGTAGTATTTTAAATGCAAAAACTCTCCCCAGAAAACTATAAAACATTATTAGATATAGTAAATAAAAACTAAATAAATAAAGCAGGGATTGGCAAACTGCAGCCTACAGCCTGTTTTTTTTCCTGCCTGTGAGCTAAAAACGGTTTTTACATTTTTAAAGGGCTATAAAACAAAAAGAAAGAATAAGAATATGCAACAGCAACTGTATATAATCCTCAAATTCTAAAATATTTACAGTCTGACTCTACTAAGTTTGCCATCATTGAAATAGAATATATCATTTTCATTGATTAGAATACTAAATATTGTAAAGATGTCAGTTCTCTTCAAATTAATCTGCACATTCAATAATTCCAAATTCCTAACAGGTACTATTTTTGGAAATTTGCAAGCTGATTTTAAAATTTTTATTGAAATACAAAAAGCCAAGAATAGCTAAGACAATCTTTAAAATGAAGAACAAACTCTGAGGTCTTATACTACTAGATATCAAGACTTATTATAAAGCTATAGCAACAAAAACAAAATAGTATTGGTACCAAGTTAAACAGAGTAGAAAGTCTAAGAACTGACCTGCACATATAAAATTCATTTTCGATAAAAATGGGAAGGTACTATCTTTTCAATAAATGGCATTGGATCTATTAGATATTCATGTAAGAAAAATAACCTTGACTTCTATTTCACACAGACGTATGAATCAATTCCAAATAGATTATAAGCCTAAATGCAAAATAAAAATAAATCATCTAGAAGATAACATGAGAATATCTTCATGAACTTGGGGCAATCAAAGATTTCTTAAATAAGTTATAAAAAGCTGTCACCTTTTCATCTTATAGATGAAAAGATACATAAATTGACATGATTAAAAAACACCAGGAAGAAAGAAAAAAGAAACCACAGCTTGGTAGAAAAAATTTGAACCACATATCTGACAAGAATTCATAGCCAGGATACTTAAAATACTGTTATAAATTACAAATAAAAAGATAGAAATCTAATAAAATGAAGAGCAAAATAATTTTCAAAAGCACTACACAAAAGAACATCTGAATGGCAAGTTAATATAGTAAAATATGCTCAAGATCATCAATCATCAGGAAAATGCAACTGAAAACTACAATGAAATTTTATTATGTATTCACCAAAAAGGCTAAAATGAAAAAAAATCCAAATGTTGGCAAAGATGCAGAGCAACTGAAACTCTCATACACTTCTGGTCTAAGTGTACACTGGTGCAATCAGTTTGGAAAACAGAGTATCTGCTAATGCTAAATAAATACATACTCTATGGCCTAACAATTCTACTTCTAAGCAGGTAGCAAACACAAAGACATATAGAGGTGCATCCAAAGATATGCACAAAAACATTCACAAAGTATTATTCGTGATTGCAAAAAACTGGAAATAATTTAGGTGTCCACGAGCAATAGCATGGAAAAATATCTGTAGCATATTCATAGAATGGAATACTAGGCACCCAAGAGAATGAACAAACTACAGCTACACACTATAGTATGGATGAAACTCAAAGTTGAGCAAAAAAAAAGCCAGATAAAAAAGAGTATATATGTATCACATTAAAAAAACAAGCAAAACTTAACAGGGATTGAAGTCACAATAGAGACTAGTCAAAGGAGACAATGACTGGGGAGGGGACATATGGAGGCTTCTGGGTTGTTGGTGATGTTCTATTTCTTGATCTGAGTGGTAGTTACGTGGCTTTGCTCACTCTAAAAATACATTCACTTATTTGTGGATGTGTTCTGTATTATGTTAAATTTTGATTGAAAGTTTACCCCAAAAAAGAAAAAAAAATGACATGTAATTGAAATATTTCCCAAAAGAAAAGACTTAGGCTAGAATTGCTGATATTAGACCACTTATAAGCCCTCAGTAAGAATAGCTCTGGGCAGGTGTACAGGAATGATTAGTGTCCCCAAAAAGCCATACCCACCTGGAACCTCAGAATGAGGGTTTATATGGAAATAGGGTCTTAGCAGATGTAATCAGGTTAAAATGAGGTCATACTGGATTCGAGTGGGACTTAATCCAATGAATGGTGTCCCTATAAGAAGAAAATTTGGACAGAGATACAGAGAGGGTAAAAAAAAGCACCATGGAGAAACAGATACACAGGGAAAATGCCACATGATGACAAAAGCAGAGACTGGAATGATGTACAACAACCCTAGGAAACCAAGGATTGCTGGCAAACAATAGAAGCCAGAAGAGGCAAGGAAGGATTTTTCTGTAGAGACTTTGGAGAGAAGATGGCCCTAACGACACCTCGATTTCAGATTTCTAACCTCCAGAACCGAGATAATAAATTTCTACTGTTTTAAGCTACCTAGTTTGTGATACTTTGTTATAGCAGCCCTAGAAAACTAATACAGCAGATATAGAAGTCAAGAGTGCAAGAAGAAAACCCACTTTAAAAATAAGCATGTAAAAGCTTGAAAAGGGGGAGGGTGGAGAGATGGAGAGAGGAGAGACAGAAAGAAGATTGTTTGGAACCAGGAGGAAAGCTGGCCCCTCAATCTCACCCACTGGGATTGTGTTTGGTGCTTTAAATAGAATTTATTGATTTTATAATACTGTCAAGCCCTATTTCAAGGCCCAGATATGAACAAATAGACTTCTTTAGAGGAAACCACACGGAAAAAATAGAAAACAAATTTTTTAGAAAAGAGAAACCAAGTTTGGACTTTTTTCAAAGAGCTCAGTCTGGCACACCTGTAAATTAAAGATGAAAGTGTTTTGCTTACAAAATACCATGCTGCCATGAAGAGACAAATGTTTTTACATGTTAAAAGTAACTGCTGTGTTATTTAACTTAATAGAGAAAATACATGCAAAAACAGCACATCAGGTAACCCTAAGAAAGATGTCTAAGTGGTGAGCATGGGACAGCAACAGTGCAGTAATCTGGATGACTCAGTGAGTGTTCTGTGAGGGAGCAGGAGGGAAAGGGAGTGTCACAAAAGCACTCCCCAGAAATCTCCAATCCTGAAACAGGTCATAATGCTAAAATGATAAATCTGATTGGACCTCATTATCATCTGTTGTACCTACTGAAAGGGGTAAAGGGGAAGGTTGCAAGAAGGTGAAGGAGATGTGGAACCTTGTTTCTTCTACTGGTTGCTTACCTTCACACCAGTTAAATTTTTCTACAAATTAACAGCAACCTTAATGTTCTAAAATAGCAATGGCAATCAAAGCTCATATTCCCTGAGGTTTGGATTGCCACCACCAGATCATGCAGTTTTTGTTATAGTCAAAATTTATGCATAAAGGTTATTTTTTAATGGGGGTGATGACAAGTTTTGTAACTCACTCTTTTCTGTTAAAAGGGTTTTTCAACAATCAGTGAATCCAAGGAGGATAACTTAGAGAAGCAGTACACAATCTCAGAGATTTAAACACCTCTTACTTAGAAATTATGATAGCCTGTCCAAGACCTGAGTTATGTCTATCCTAGTTTTGAAAAATGTGTGTTTCCAGCATATCCTCAGGGTAAATAAGAGTACGAAGATAATGCTAACCTAACTACAGAAATCATTTTTAAGAACTCTCAGACATTTTGAAAGCATGTATTTATGTGATTTGCATATGTTAATCATAAAGCATTCTGGTTATTCGAAGAGGTATTCTAAGAGCCTCAACTATGCAACACTGTTAATTTGTTTATAATTAGACATACTTTTAAATAGTAAGTCTTTTTTAAAAATAAAAATCTATACCTAAGACTTTTCACTAACTCAAAACTCTTCTTCATATCCATTATTCATTGATAACATCGTACCCTGAACATGTGTAGCCTTCTTAAAGTGAATTCAATGTGTAGAAACTTGCACTTACAATGCAGATTACTTTGAGGGCATAATTGTTTATTTTGCCAATGGTATCTTCATTTTAGAGAAAGATTCACTACCAAAAAAGTTATAATAAGCTTTCATAATATGCTTAAAATTCAATTTACATACAACTTTGCAGGACTATGAGTAAAATGAGACGTAAATCCAATTCCTCACTCTTCCAACTGATCTTTACATGGCCATTGCCTCACTTCACTCAGGACTTTCATAAATGCCCTCAATCAATGAGAACTGCCCTGATGATCCTGTATAAAATAATATCTCTGCCCATAATTCTCTACCTCACCTTACTCTGCTTTATCATTTCCAGAGTATTTATCACCACCTGACATATTCCACATTTATTTATCTTTGTTGTTAGTACTTAATTTCTGCCTTCCCTCATTAGAATGTGACCACCTCGAGGGTGGAGTCTTTGCTGAGCCAACACCAAGAACAGTACCTGGCAAATAGAAAACAGGCAATAAATAAGCCTTAAATGAATAAATGCCATAAATGAAATAATAAAGTCTTACAAGCTATGATGAAAAGTTGAACATTTTCTTAGATGTACCGTACTGGGTTAGGAAATTATCCCACTTGGAGTATTAATAACATAGCAATATGGTTTCCTATAATTATTTTCCATTGGGTAAAAGGTTTCAGGGCAGATCTTTTATGAGCTGGCCAGTAACCTTCCCCATTTTAAGTTAATAGGGATAATTAACTTAGTGCAGATTTTTTTAAAAGCAATAAAATTATTAAAAATTAAAACCACTTAATGGTGGCAGTAGTTAAGAATCTGGGGGTATGGAATAAGTCAAATCTCTCCAATGACAGAATAGTTCTTTGATTCAGGAGCAGCCCATTCTGACTAAAGAATGAGATTTTGCAGTGTTTCCCTTATGAAAGTTCTGACTTCTAGCCGTCAAACATGAGGTGATGAAGCACTTGTCCTTATTACGCATTTTGTTTGGGTAATGGATGGCTTCTTTATTTTCCTGAAGGTAGTACTTTGTTTATGAGTCACCTATGAAATCTGTTTTCTCACTTGGGTGGCCTTTCATTGTGCCCTACTGTGGTAACACCTATTCTTCATCCTTGTCATTCCTAGAGTAAGGGAGCATTTTAGAAAATAAATCTATAGTATACTTTGCAGCACAAATGATATGCACCCCATAATTTTTCAATATGTTCATACTATTGCGTTAGGTGGTTTGTGTCATGCTTCAAAGAGTTGTTCCTGACTTCAGACACCTCCTCGTATCAGTGATTTTTTTCCTACACACACTTAGCCACAGGGCAGAGGGAAGAAACAGGCATGGAGTGGCTCCCTTCTGCTAGAGAAGCACTCTGAACCTGAAAAAATGGCCTCTGAGTTTCAACAGATGAACCCCACAGGACTAATATCTTATTTCTGTCTCCATGGGGAAACCTTGAAGCAACACACAGAATCCACAGGAAAAATGTGTCACTCATTAATGGACTAAACCGCAGGAAGCTGATCACACCAGGGCCTTCCAGTGGTGTCCTGTAAGATTCTGAATGTAACCCAGGCTGCCACCTACTGGAGCAGTCGGCTCATGCCAAGATATGTTGCCAGCAGCAAAGAACCCCCAAATCTCAGTGGCTTGCAACAATATGGTCTATTTCTTACTAGCGTGAGATATTCCAGAGTCAACTTCAGCTCCAGTTCTTCATTCTCAGTCAAGAAAGTAGATGCAGCTCCTCTTTGGGACATGTCAGTCACATGGCAGAAGTAAAAGAGTGATGGTAGAATCAAACAATGGCTGTTAAAGCTTTTGCTCAGGAGTGTCATGTGTCATAGCCACTCATTTTAACAATCAAAGCAAGTGACATGGCCAAGCTCAACATCAGTGGGGTGGGACTCTAATCTTTCTCCAGGAAAGTGCCAATGTGGAGGCACAGTGAATACTTTAGAACAATAATTCAATCCACCACCCCTAAGACCTAAAACCCTAAATCATTTAAGACATGATTGTACAACCAGTGTAGGAGTGTTCACATGCCCCTTTGAGAACTTGAGAAAAATTACAGAACCTATCCCTAGAAAAATGTACACATATACAAACCTATCTGTGAAAAAAACACATACATACAAGTACCTCCAAACATTTCAATATAATTTCAAGAGTCAGAAACCCCTGAGTTCCATACATGAACTCCAAACCCAGAACAATAATTCTCATTCTAAAGAGAAAATTTCCTCACCAATAATCAAACTGCTATTCATTAACATGAGGTCATTCCTCATTCCACCTGAAATTATACAGGAAAGACATCATTCAGAAAGAACACCTAGGTACTCTGCACACAGCCTGCTATGCTTGCCCTGAGGAGCTGGGGCCCTAGGTCACTGTCCTGTACACCACCTGGCAAAGTCCATTGAAAGAGGTTTACATTACCTTTAAAATGTATTTTCTTCTTGTTTAAATTGTGCACTATTTTGTCACAGCACTTTTTTCTTTCTACTGTTTTATAAATCATAATACTGAAACTTAGTATTAAGTAAGTCATATTGTTTTATCCTAAGGCAACAGAATATTTGTAGTTTTACACACACTGATGCATGCATGTATACACACACACACACACACACACACTAGTACCTGTGTATCCGTGGCTCTCTCATCTCCATGAGATGAAGAATCATACACAACTGTTTTTTGTTTTTTTCCCCAAACTCTAGCAACATCCTCAAATGTGGCCATAAGAAGATCAGGTAAGGGAGTTCAGGACAAGGCCATTCATGACCCTACCCAGAAAGCAACTCTAGCAATGGAGCCTCATATGGGGTCAGCACAGCCTGCCATAGATGCAACTGATGCAAGGCAGGTGAGCCCCAAAATTAGAGATTAGCCTGAGAGAGTTCTCAGCTTCACCCAGGAAGGAATTCAAGGGCTACCCAACAGGCAGTGTGCCCAGAGCAACCCTGTTCCACAAGGAGCAGAACCTCTGATGCTGCTGTACACTGCCAGTTCAATAAAAGTTGCTGTATAACACTACTGGCTTGCCTTTGAATTCTTTCCTGGGAAAATACAAGAACCCTCCTAGGCTAAGCCCCAGTTTTGAGGCTCAGCTGCCCTCCATCATTCGGTGATTAACAAAGGGTTGAAGACAGTGAGCCATAGAATGCGAGAGATGAGGAGATGGCAGTCAGCAAAGACAGCAAGAATACAGCAAGAGACCGTGAGAGACAGCAAGAGACCGATCAGTGAGACAACAAGCAGAGATGGCAAGAGACAGCAAAGCAGTCTGTGATAGAGGCTGCAAGAGCTATAACACAAAGGCTGTAACAATAAATAGCTAATACTATAGAGCTGTACTAATAGCCAAAGGCTCTTTTCAGAGCCATCACTTTCCCTGGCAGGCAACAGAGCTGAGTGGATGGGCAAGTGACCATAGTGCTGCTGCCTCATGTGAGACTCGCTGCTCTAACCAACAGCTCAATAGGTTACCAGCATTTGCACCAGACATCCTGTGTGACAGCCAAGCCCACCCAAGGTGAGGAAATCTGGAGAGACATTCAACTGGGTCCCATGTGGAAGATCAGTCAGTGCCATTTTGGTTCCTGCGGATGGGTGAGTATCCTCTCTCCCCCATGGTCCCCATAATATCGGGAGAGCTAGGAAACAAAATAAAAGCCTTTGGCTAATTGGTCAGTCGAAAGTCCTGCACAGTTTGGGTGCCCTGAAGCACGTCCCCATCATCCCTCTCCCAGTTCTCCTCTGACTCCATTTTATTGTTCCACCAGTCATGCTATTTTAGTTCTACGATGTATGTTTTGTTTGCAGTCTTTTGTTTGCTTTGGACTTTGTGTTTGGGCAGTTGTTAAAGGCAGGGCACTTGGTTGTGAGAGATCCCCTACTGTGTTGACCCTGAGATGCCAGAGTCATATTGTTCAGTGACCCCAGCTTCGTTTTGGGTTCACTGTTGGCCAACCCCACCCTGGGTGCCCCAGGGGTCTTCACATTTGGAGTAGGGGGACCCTCATTCGTTGAAACTTGGGCACTCTGGGTTTTCAGCGTTATTTTAGCCAGCACCTAGATGCTCTGAGGTATTTAGCACTGACATTTCCTCTAAGATTGTGGTCCCCCTAGAGGAATATTGCTCTTCCCTTTTTCTACCCTGAAGTTAGAAGTTATTATTTTCCTAATAATAATCCCGTTGCAAGCCCTTTCTTGTGGCTGACTTAATACTGCCTTGTTCAAGCCTCTCTTGGTCAAAGGAACCGGGCGTTTCCAGGCCCCTGGCCTGATAGACAGCCACCTACAGTGGTAGATGAATGACCACCTAAACATTTTTTTAGTGTCTCCGCTGCTGGGTAAGTTCTCCCACAAGTCAATGCTTCCAAGGTTTCCCCTTAGGCGATGCTGTTTACCCACCTTCCTCCCTTCCTCCCTTCCACAGTCGCCATTTGTTTAGCCCCTCTCTGCATAACCCTCTCTTTCTGTGGAATTTAGGCTCAACCTCCAACTGCTCATTTGTAGTGCACAATCCACTTTCATAGCACCTTATTATCTGTATTTTGTAGGAAGTGGGAAATTAAAAGGGAGAAGTAACTAAGCATTTGCTAAACTTAGGCTAACCGAAACCCCGTGTAGAAATCTTTACTAGACATGGGGACAACAGCAAGCATCCCGAGGGACTCACCACTAGGCTTTTAGACATTTGGAACAAATTTAAGTTAGACAAATTGAAAAAGAAAAAAACTCATTTACTATTGCAGTAATGTTTGGGTTCACTACAAATTGGCAAGCCAACAGATTTTGCCTAGGCATGGTTTTTTACATTACAATAATATTGTACAATTATATTTGCTTTGTAAAAAGCAAGCAAAATGGGAGGAAGTTTCTTATGTGCAGGCTTTTATGGCCTGCCACCAGGATCCTAACCTAAGGGCTAACTGTAGAGTGTGTCTGGCTCATGATACTCCCAGGCACCCAGAAGCTGCACCACGTATTCTAGATGGCCCCCTCCTAACTGCTCCCCCTAGGAGGCCTGTGCCCCCGACCTTCAGAGACTCTTTAATCCGTTAGTCTAAGGGAGGGGCCTCACCAGTTCTCTAGTGCAGGATTCCACCCCAAGGCCATCTTGGCACTCTAGCCCTCTCAGACCAAGATAGTTAAAAGCCATTTTGGGAATGGCCAGATTTTGCCAGATTTGGATTCCCAACTTTGGGCTTATAGCAAAACCACTCTATGAAGCTCTGAAAGGAAGTGATCATGAGCTTTTGAATTTGGATAGAACCTGCCAACAATCATCCTTAATCCTAAAAGAAAAACTAGGAACAGTTCCTGCTTTGGGATTCCCTAATTTAGAAAAACTTTTCATCTTTTCTGTGGCTGATAAACAAGGGATGGCTTGGGGTGTCCTAACCCAAAGGGTCAGGACTAGCCCTAGAACAGTGGCTTACTTTTCTAAACAGCTAGACAAGGTGGCAGCTGGGTGGCCAGGATGCTTGCAAACTGCGGTCACCACTGCTCTATTGGTAGAAGAAGCCAGGAAGTTTACCTTGGGACAACAATTACATGTCATCACCCTTCACCAAGTACAGGAGGTTCTAGATGCAAAAGGACACTAATGGCAGTGACAGGAGGTTACTTACTTAAATATCAGATCCTTCTGTTTCATACCCCAGATATTACTCTTAAAGTGTGTCAAGTTTTAATCTCTGCTACCCTGTTTCTGGACTTCACATCCCAGAAAACAGATCCCCAACTTACTCATTGCTGTGTGGAAACCATTGAACAGACCTACAAGAGCAGGCCTGTCCTCAAAGATGAGCCCCTGACTAATCTCCATGTTGAATGGTTTACAGATGGGAATAGCTTTGTGCATGATGGAGTAAGAAACACAGGTTATGTGGTAGTTATCCAAAAGAGGTCATTGAGGCAAAAGCTTTGCCACCCTAAACTCCCGCTCAAAAAGCAGAACGGCCTGCTTTAATTAGGGACCTCCAATTGGGAAAAGACTTAAGAGTCAATGTATTTACTGACTCCAAATAGGGGTTCCTGGTACCCCATGCTCATGCTGCTATATGGAAAGAAAGGGGACTCCTAACAGCTCAGGGATCCCCCAGACAATATGTAAGGATGGCCCCAAAGGGAACTCTAAAACTTAGTCCATTTGAGATGACTTAGGGAAGGCCCTTTTTAAATTCAGATCTCCTGCTTGATGAGGGGACACATAGAAAGCTCACCCATATTATCGACTTAGGCCAGGTTCAAAAGGCCCTCCAAGCCTATGGAAATAAAATATCGCCCCCTCCCACCAGAGAAATATTGAATCCCCCATTCAACCAGGAGACTTAGTCCTGCTAAAAACTTGGAAAGAAGGATCCCCTGAAGATCAATACAACCAAAATGGAGGGGCCACTATCCGGTGTTGTTGAGTACCCCCACAGCTGATAGACTTCAGGGAATAACTACTGGGCACACCTGCCCAGGATTAAAGCGGTTTTTTATGAATCACAGGCACAAGAGGACACTATGGTCTACATCTGTGAGCCTTTGGAGGCTCTCTGCTACCTACTTAAAAGAATCAACACTCAGCTACAAGTGGTAATGTGATGTTGTGGGTGGGAATACGAGCTTAATTTTTCTCTTCTAGCTGATTATAATACTTCTTTTCTGTTACTTTAGCCAACCTCCTAGGAAACATTTTTGTCCTTGTTGGGTGTAGAGGCCACTCTAAGGTCCAAACCGGACACCACGCTGTCACTGTTAATCCCATTTGCTCTCCCTGTTACCCTGATTCAGCATGGGTGGGAACGTAACTCCATAGTAAATATTTCAACAACTATAACATCAGGGAATCATCTTTGTGGTTGCTGGATTTGTCATCAACATTCTCACGACAGAGTTCTACCTTCTGACTTATCCAGAAAATCTCACGACCATCTCCCCAGACCTCTTAACTAACCATAGGGATCCCCAAATACCCAGACTCCTACTTGTTAAGTGGAACGCTCCCCTACTTAACAAATTCCACCTGAGTCTGCCCACCACTGTTACCTGGACCTGGGAAGTTGGATATCTAAAAAGTAAAAGTTTCCCTGCTATGCTCTGATCCAACTCTAGTTGCCAAGCTCCCAAGGCCACAGCGAGGTAAAAGGGATTCCATTTTTAAGCAAGGAGACCATATGTGATGCCTTCTCCTAGATCACGCAAGAGAAAAACAACTGCCTTGTCTGTGAAGGTGGGACTACTGCCCCCTTCTGGAAAACAAAGATTGTCTGACCATCTCCATGGGATCGGGGGGAAAATATCTCTATAGACCCAACTTGACAGGAAAGAATAAACATCACACCCCAGAGGGCCTCTGTTTGTGCCCCAATTGGGCTCATTTTTGTTTGTGGCCATGAATGGGAAGAAGTCACACCTCATAACTCCTGACTCCCCAGGGAGTCACCTCTTCTTTAGGAACAGCTTTCCCTTGTATGTCAAAAAACTTGGAATAGAGGTGAATTACATTGGTTACCCTAGCCCCTCCAGGGGTCACTGTCTATAACCCCTTAAGACACAGGAATACCAGAAGTAAACAAGCAATAGGGTTAATTCTGGCAGGAATCAGGGCAGCGAAAGGACTAGCAGCACCCTGGGGCAACCTTGCCTACCATGAGTTAACCCTAAAGAATTTAACTCAAACCCTAGAATCCTTAGCCACCAACACTGGTGTCAGGTTTGAACCCCAGCTGAGGTCCGAGAGGAGTGGGTGAACAAGGGGGCAGGGAGCTGGAAGAACACTCGCGACAGCAGGTAGATGAGACATGGCTTTATTCAGCTCTTTCACGGTGTCAGTGCTGCATTTATACACCTCACAAACAATAGTGGCTGAGAGCCAGGTGATGAGTCTGTTATGTTGACATAGCTATGATTATACAAGACACAGAATTGTGCACCTGTGCTCCAATCCCACCAAGTCACACAGGATATTTACCTCAGCCTATGCCTGCCTGGCTGCAGCGCATCCATGTTCCTTAAAACAGGCCAGGAATTAAAGGGAATTTAAAAGTCCCCGGACTCTTTAGCAAATGTAGTCCTTGACAAGAGACTAGCTTTGGATAATTTACTAGCTGAATAAGGTGGAGTCTGTGCAGTTATTAATAAAACCTGCTGCTCATATATTAACAACTCTGGACAAGTTGAAATTAACACTCAAAGATTTATGAGCAATCTACCTGGTTATGTAGATACAGCAAGGGCACTGACCGCAACTAAAACTGGTTGACTATCAAAAGTGCCTTTCCAAGTCTTACTTGGGTTTTACCTCTCCTAGGACCTTTGATAGCAATCTTCTTGTTACTAATTTTTGACCCTAGTTTGTTTAACGTCTTATTAAAGTTTTGTATCTTCTGGATTACAGCAGTTCCAGGTAAAGACAATGCTGGCACAAGGCTTCCAACCCATCCCACCTGCTGACCCAAAGAATAAAACTGTCCTGCCTCTGGGCCCCTTAGGTCAGGTACCCGGAGATATTTACTCCTCTGGTGCTAGGCAGTGCCCATGCCCATAAACTCGGCAGGAAGTAATCAGAAGACAGACCTCTGCCCTTTTGCAGCCCCTTTAAGATTAAGGAGGAGTATCTCATCTAAGAGGAGAATGAGGTAAGAGGCAGAATTCAACTCCAGAGGTAGGGTACAGACACCAGAACAAATTGCGGACTAGCTACAATAGGGCCTTGTGGAAGCAGCTTTCCATAAGACATGCCCACCAGTGTGCCATGTCAATTTACCATTGCTATGGCAACACTCAGGAGCTATCCCCGCTTTCCATGGCAATAACCTGATGACCCAGAAGTTACTACGCTTTTCCCAGAAATTTCTGCAATAAACTAGCTGCTAATCTCATACAATCAAAAGTAGGTATAAATTTACTGCCTATGGGGTATTCTCTGCCTATGCTCTGCAGGAAAAGCACAGCAGTGCCACACTGCTGGAGCTGTAACATTGCCACTTCAATTAAGCTGTTTTCTTCTACCCTACCACTGGCTTGCTTTTGAATTCTTTCTCTGGGGAAGCCAAGAACCCTGGCAGGCTAGGTCCCACTTTGGGGCCCACCTGTCCTGCATCACAATGGTATTGCACCAAATGTCAAATGAGATAGAATCAGCCACCTACTAATGCAATAAAAGCCTCGCAGAATTGTTGGCGGGCTCCTTGTGAGAGCCATTTTTGTTCATGCTGTAGTTTGAGCTCCCTTGTTTCTCAAACATTTAAAAGTGGATTTGTTTCTTTTCAGTTACAATTTTGAGCCAGAAATCCAAATGAAATTAACGTGTTTTAAGAAAGTGTATGAGACCAAGGAAAGTGCTGATCAGAGTTACATGGCAACGAGCACCTTAAGTCGGACGAAGTTTTGACTTTTTGACCCACACTTCTCTCTGTGGGAGATGAAACAAACATCACTAATTTAAAAAATAAAAACGTCCTGAACACTTCATGACTTCACATTTCAACAAGCAGCAGCCCAAATTGAAAGTTCAGCTCCTGGATGTAGAGGGAGAATCCCAGTGAGTCACAGGCCCATATTTTGTCTGACTGGGCTCCACTCAACACACAGGCAGTCTCAGCCTCTGTGTGCCAAAAGACCCACAGCTTGGGCCTGGAGGGCTAAAGGGGAAAAAGTGCTGTCAGCGGAGGAGTCTCCTCCCATGTTCTCATCTAAATAGGCTCAACTTCACACACACACATACATACACACACACACACACACACACCCCTTGTGCTATAAAATCTCATTAAGAAAGCAAAATAACTTCACTGGGAAAAGTTTCCACGATCCAGAAAGGCTTTCTGTTGAGTTCTAAAATTCCATTTAAACTTTACATATAACTGCATGCATTTCTTTAACCAAACTCAGCACATAAACATTCTGATTAGGGGATGAGAATTTGTTTTACAAAAGCCTTCACCAAAAACTCCTTTAAATAGCAACTATCTCTGATGGCACAAAAAGATGATTTATACACATTTTGGTACACAGTTAATGTATTAGGAAAGTACACCACCCACCCAATATTTAGTTTAATATTGTTTAAGATTTTACTAATACCTAGTTATAAAAACAAAACCAAAAAAACCTCCAAATACAATGAATACTCACATTCTATAATCTGCAAAGTTTAAGATATTCTATATCTTAACTTCTATGAACATTCTATAATCTGCATGTTTAAGATATTAATAAAAGTTGTATTTTTGCAAACTACACAGAAGTATAAATGCCATTATTTTCTCAGAATATGGATTAACTATTATTAATTTCATTTTAATGGACTTAAGTATCAAAACCAAACAGCACATTGCAATTTTTGTTTAATTGTGGTTGTGAAATAATTAAGAGTGAAAACACATGTAACATTTTTCCCATATGGTTCCACTCTAAATCCCATTTCGGCCATTTCCACTCCCCCATATTTCTCAATGCCCTAGAAATAGTTCATACCAGTTACGAATGCCCCATTGGCCCCAACCACGATGCCATCCCTACTAGCTCTAACCCTGCAGAGATCTAGGAATGGAGAACTAGGGAATAGGCATAAGGCACCTTTCAAGCTTTTATAGACCAATGAGAAGATGAGATTCCAGATAATGGGCCATTTTAATGGTGTAATTCCTCAGATTCAAACATTCCCCATTTCAGACACATCATGATTAGAAAATCCAAATAAAGGAAAATCATTTTACATAATTTATGACTATTCCCTAATATTTCAAAATGTCACATAAACCTCCCTAATATTTTATTACTTACGGTAAGACATGCTACATGCTGATATCAGCTGAAAATTAGGATAAAATGTCAGGAGTCAGAGGGATAAGACTTACCAGGGAAGGAATATAGCCTGGAAATCTTGATTAGCAATCACTTTTCACCTTGTAATGAGTTTCTAGACCAGCAGGGGTGAAATTGCATGCCAAAAATCTCAATAAATTATTTTCCATTTGAACACAGACTATCCATATCATTACCTAGTTCCAGGTTTAGAAGATTAAACTTATCAAATGCATTACTGAACAAAAGCTTGCCCTCATTTCCTAATGCAGTTGACTGCTTTGATGATTGATTGTGGATGAAGTCTTCCAGTAATATGGAACAACAATCAAAACCGTATATCACATCAGGCATGCAGTGCTGTTATTATGGTGTCAGTCAGTAAACAGTTTTTTAAAAGACTCTACTAGTAACACTAATTCAAGAGCTGTGCTGGTCTGTAGAATAATTGCTCCACAGAGAAATTCATGGCAAGGTACCACAATTGAAATATCCCTTCAATTAATACCATCTGGTACTGGAGTAAGCTATGTCTTCTGAGTATTTTTTAACTGGCTAACTTTTTTATAAAAATGGCTTCAAACAGCCTTGAAAGCAGATTTTAAAGAAATCATTTCAATATTTACTCCTACATTTACTAAAATCGCCATCCTCCTCAATCTATATCTTTCAGTAGCATCACAATAAGAGAATACAAGTATGTTCAACAATACCCAAGAGACACCAAGTTAAAAAAAAATCTGACCACAGGAAAACTGGAAAGGCAGAGAAGTGTAGTTTTCTTAGGATCTCTGCTCTAGATTCTTGATAAACCTGAGAAAAAAATGTGAATTTGTATTTATATCTGGTTTAATAAAAAGTGTTTCCTGGGATGTTTTCTGAGTCAACAATGCCATGCTTATCTATGTACAAATAGTCATTAAATTTCAACCAGTCATTCAAGATTAATTCAACAAGCCCTGAGTTAGAACATGTGCTAAGCTCTGAGTCCAGCATAGGAAATATAAGAACACAGTATTTATCCTTGCCCTAAGCCCAGAGTAGGGGGTAAGATGCTTAAATACTAATTATTTAGAAGAAATAAAGAGTAGGATAAGAGAAATGATAGAGATAGGCACTGAGTATCTTGAATCTCTCAAGAAGGCTACCTAAATAGAATGGGGAGCCCTCAGGGGAGACTTTCCCCAGGGATGATGCCTGAGCTGTATTACAGGAGAGTAATCATCACTTCATGAAAGATAAAGGGAGGATGGACTGAGGGCACAGACTGAACAAAGAGGTCAGATGAGAACTACAGCTGTTTTGCATTGTGGAATGTGAAAGAAGAACCAGGCAAGGAATAGCAAGAAATGGGCAGAGAAGCAGGCAGAGCAGATAAGAGGGTATTGTAATGCAACCCAAAAAAGGTTGGCTTTATCCCACAAGCAACACGAAGCAATAGGAAAGAAGTGGCGTAGTCAGATTTTTAAGCGATCCCTTTGTTAACTGTTTGAAAAATGGGTCTAACCAGAATCAAAGTGTCCAATTAAAAGTAGTCCAGATAAGAATGGCTGAAGTCCTGAATAACGCAGAGGAGAGAAGAAATTAAAGACATGGGAGGCAAAATTTCCAGAAGCTGGTACTTCATTGAATGTAAGGGTAAAAGAAAGAACAGGCAGTAAGAACCCGTTTGGTGTCCTTTCTAGGCAACTGAGTGAAAAGTGATGCTGTTGAATTAGATGCAGAATAGAGGAAGAAGAAGAGGGGGCAATATAGAATATAGATGCTGAGCCCAGTCCTCATCTGTGTTTGAAGGCCTTTGGGACCACCATCAGTTGGCTGGATTTTCAAATCTAGGGTTCAGGGTAAAGTCTACTGGGATATAATGATAGATACGACAGTTGGTACCCAACAGGTGCATGATGTCATCCACATCATATCATGTGTGGATATCATGTGAAGCAATCAAAACAAGGCCTGAAGCCAGAATCCTGGGGACTGCTTGATGCTTAAGCAGTGGGAAGAGGAGCTCACCTTTGAGAGGGAGATAGACTAGAGGAAAGGAGGATATTGTGATAATTGGAAGGAAGAAGGTGATGAGCAGTACCTAATGCACAAGTCCAGTGGAGAGTGCTCTATCGTGAATATAGCATCTAGACAATCTTCACTGGCTCTGGCAACTAAAGGGTGGCATTGCTGCCCCCAAACAATAGTCACATTAATGGTATGATAGGGGTGAGCCCAGACATCAGAAGGTTGAGGAATGAGCAAGTGAAAGAATAAACTATTCTTTCAAGAATTTCAGAAAGAAGAGGGATGAAAGATTTAGATATTAGTTCAAAGGGAGATTGAAATGGCTGAGAGGTGTTGGCTCATTTTGTATATATGGGGGACCTGAGTGTGTTTATACACTGAATTCTTGACAGAAGCTATGAAGGGGAGGAGGTTTGAGGGCCCCAGGTGTAGGGAAATGAGAGACTGAGGGAATGCTGAAGGAGGTGGGAGGGAGTGTGGTCAAGAGAAAAGAAGAGGAAACTAAGCCTGGTGCTGGCATTAGCTTTCTCAATACCACGCTTTTTGCCAAGCTTTTTTCCAAATAAATCATTTTTGCCTTCCTGGAAAAGCTGCAGCCACTGGAGAAATGAGGTCAGCCTTCAGAGTCCCTATTGACTAAAGACTACGCAAAGAATAGGAAATCCATAAATAAGTTATATGTATTGACAAATGTATTAGTCCATTCTCACACTGCTAATAAAGACATACCTGAGATAGGGTAATTTATAAACGAAAGATGCTTAATTGACTCACCGTTCCACATGGCTGGGGATGCCTCACAATCATGGCAGAAGACAACAGAAGAGCAAAGACATGTCTTACCTGGCGGCAGGCAGGCAAGAAAGCTTGTGCAGGGGATCTCCCATTTATAAAGCCATCAGATCTCGTGAGACTTATTCACTACCATGAGAACAGTATGGGGGAAACTGCCCCCATGATTCAATTATCTCCACCTGGCCCTTCCCTTGACACGTGGAGATTATTACAATTCAAGGTGAGATTTGGGTTGGGACACAGCCAAATTATATCAACAAATAACATGCTTACCCACAGAGATATAAGCATATTCATTAAGTATATTTTACACCAACTTCTAAACAATATCCTCCAATAAATAGCTGTTTAGGTAAACAGCAGAATTATTTTAAAAATACATGGAGTCCGCAATCTTAATGAGAATCTCTGTGACCTCACTGGCAAGTTAACCACTCTTCAAAAGCCCAAGGAGCTTGAATGTCAGATAATGCAGACCACCTGGCCTCATATGTACCTCACAGCTTAGTCCAGCTTGTCAAGGGTCTTATCACATAGACATATGCATGCTATGTACCTGCTTATTCCTTTCTTCCAACAGGAAGCAGAAAGGCTAATCCAATTCCCCTGGGAGGTGGGAGACCATTCTGGGATTAGATAACACCCAGGGATTAGATAAAACAACAAAAATCAAGAGCAACCCAGGTGGGAGCAGGGAGAGAGATAAAAGCAGTATAGGCAAACGAAAGTGTTGGAATTTATCACTGGGATCCCTGAGAGCTCCTTTCTGCCTGATCTCACTGCTATAAAACTTCTCAGACTACTCTAAATCCATCTTTAAAAGTACTGCATGGTGAGACTACCGATTGGCCAGCCAGTGGGAAAAACAAGAACATAGGGTCATTACTTCACACTTTTTTTTTAACTTTTCCATATTAATTTATTGATAGTGATTAACTTATACTATAGAAATAGTACTATTAATTAATGCTGAATTTGTATTACTTAGTTGTTTCTGAGCTTTTCTTTTTTTTTATTATACTTCCAACTGGATTAAAGATAAAAGTCTGAAATATCAAACCATAAAAGCATAGAAGAAAACAAGATTAATCTTGTTTTTAATCTGAGTCAGAATGGTCTAAGTATGACACAAAATCCAGGAAAAACAAGAAAAGAGCAATAAATTTCACCAATATTTAAAATTTCTGAGTAGTAAAAAAATTAACAAATTACAAAATCATATTTGCAACTCATATTCCAGACAAATAATTGATTTATCTAATAAATAAAGAAGTCCTACAAACAATAAGAAAAAAAAGCCAACAAACCAATAGGAAAAGGAGCAAAGAAGATGAACAGGTTTCTTACTAAAAAATAACGAATTTCTCTTGAACACAGAAAGATGTGCAACCTCATTTACATTCAGAGAAACACCAATTAAAACTCTAATGAGATGCAATTTAACCTGTTAGGTAGGCAAAGATCAAAATATTTTAAAACACAGAGTTTTGAAGACAGTATAAAAAGAAAGGAATTTTATACATAACCAGTTAGATTATAAATTGATGCAACATAAATGAAAGACAATTGTTATCAAAATGTAAAGTGTGCATACACTTTGACTCTGCAGTTTCACTTTATATGTAAGATATTTGTATAAAGATCTTTTTTTTTTTTTAAGGCGGAGTCTCACTCTGTTGCCCAGGCTGGAGTGCAGTGGCACAGTCTCGGCTCACTGCAACCTCCGCCTCCCAGGTTCAAGCGATTCTCCCGCCTAAGCCTCCCAAGTAGCTGGGATTACAGGCACCCGCCACCAGGCCCAGCTAATTTTTGTATTTTTGTAGAGATGGGGTTTCACCATGTTGGCCAGGCTGGTCTCAAATTCCTGACCTCAGGTGATCCACCCACCTTGACCTCCCAAAGTGCTGGGATTACAGGTGTGAGCCACTGTGCCTGGCCTGTATATGGATATTTACTGAAACATTTTATAGGAGCAAAAGATTACAAACAATCTAAATGTCCACAAATAGATAACTAGTAAATAAATTCCAGTTTATTCATATAATGAAATAATATGAAGCCGTTAAAAAATGAAATAGCATTACATGTACAGATAAGAAATAGTCTCCAAGATATATTAAACAAACAAAGAGTAAGGAGCAAAGCAATGTATGGTATGGTATTATTAATGTAGGAATTAATACACACACACCCACATGTTTACAAATTGTGTAAATTGTCTCAGGAAGAATAAACAAAAAAGTGATTGCCTTAAAAAGAGCTAGGTAACTGGGGTAGAGGGGCAAGCAGGAAACTCACTTTTTTTGTATGTCATTTACATATTTAGAATTACATGGCATGCATTGACATTACCTATTCAACAGTAGATTTTTAAAAATACATCTTATAACAATACAGAGTCTTCACACTATAGACATATAATATCATCTGTCACTGGGAGATATATTGTCAAAAAACAGACTTTTTTTTTCTTTTGTGAATTTTCAGGATCCTGTTTCTATTTTCATTATTCATCACCTCTGGATGACAAGCATATGCGCCTGGAAGTTTAGAACAGCAGTTTGCACTACTTCCCATGAATGAGGCTTAAATAATTCAAATACAACTCCCATATGGAGTTATTTAAAATAATTTTTGAACCTCCTTAAATCCCTTTTGGAAATGTGTAGGGTCCAAATAAATGAAGTAAACTCTTTATTAGCAAAGTATAGTTTTATAGCTGGACATGATGATCACATTGAACCTAATTCTGCCAGCTGGGGAAGCTGTTTCCTTTGCACAAACTGGGCTAGTTGGAAGCCAGAGTTACATTCTTCATAAATGTGTCAAATATATCTCTTCTCAAAGTAGTAAATATTATTAAGTGGAATTTCAGGCACCCTAGAAATGGGAGAGATTTCTGGGCAGGGCTTTTCTACTGCCCTCATGTAATATCTGCAAGGGACCATTCAGAATATCTATATATGAATTAAACTCTGTCAACCAGAACCCTAACTAAACTAGATGAAATTCTAAGTGCACACTGACATCTCTCTGGTTGCAATATGGTGACAATCAATATTAATACATTCTGGAAAGCAAGTCTTCCTTCCAAAAGATGCGCCGGCACCCAGATAGGCAAAATCAATCAGGTTGACATCAGAAAGGTACAAATGAATACAAGTTACTAAGCAAAAGGAACGCTAAAGAATATTAACTAAATTTTCATTGTCTAGCACAATTAAGTAGAAGGTCACTGAAGCTTCAGATGGTAACATGTTGGTTATTGCCTACACGAGAAAAGTGAGTACGTGAATGATTCAAAATTTAACTGTGATTCAAAATAGTGTTTTGTATTTACTAAAATTCTCCATGGTGCAGCTAATATTTTGAAAAACAATAAAAACTCTTAGAGAAAGCCCAGTTTTTTAAAAAGTTCACACTTAGAAAATCTTCCATTTGCCCTTTCCACCCATTGCATTTATAGCGTAAATTCTAAGCTAGCAAAAGTATTTGAATACCCTAGTAGTTTTTGTAGAGATTCTGAAGGCACTAAGCTACGATTTCCTCAAGTAGTGTCATTTGACAGCACTTAGAAAATGCTACAAAAAGAAAAGTGGAAGGTTTGAACAAGTAATCCCTTTAGTCCATCTCCTAGACAGATTTTTCTCCACCTTAAGGTAAGATTAATTGTCAAACCAATAGGATATCACTAGTCATGCCTTTTAACCTGTTCATTGCATTTGGTAGTAGTGGTTCTGATGTCTTTTGGATGATTAGACTTTCTGAATAGAACATTATAAGATATCTAGACCTGTTAAGTAGATTTCCCATCTATTTGCAAAATACAGTATTTGCAAGGAGTTAATTATATACATGTCCTCCACCACAAATGTCATCTACCATAATAGGTAAGAAAAACAATAACATCTGTGGCCATTATGTAAATACAGAATATAAATAAAACACCACTCACAAAATCCTCCCAACATGTTCTGGTTACACCTCAGTACAGCATCATCATCATTTTCACTCCCTCCAACAGTTTATCTAATCTCAATTCTGAGAAGCTGACCGAGAAAGATAAGATTTAACAAAAGATAAATATACACACACGTAAAATGATGTTTAATGTCTTATTCATTCTGAATGCTAGAGTTATCTTTATCAAGGTAGTCTGTATTGATTTTCAGACACTTTAATACCAGGTCTGCCTATAAAATAATGAAAGGCCTGCTTTTATTTGAGGTATCAGTTCAGTCACATAGGTTTTTTTTAATCATTATATGTCTTACACACAGTATCTCTCAGGAGATAATGCTATAATAATGATGTAGGAAGAACATGGTTAAAGAGCTAAATAGTGATCAGGTAGGATAAATATACTGCAAGTATATGTAATTTTACATTGAACATGGGTATATCTCCATTTCTGTTAAGTTAGAGTTGGAAGGAAAAGGGGATCCACACAGATTGCTGTTCTGTTATATCATTGCAAGGCCATTTCAAATATATTAGGTCAGTGCAAAAGTAATTCCAGTTTTTGCCATTAAAATTAGAAAAAAACCAAAATTATCTTTGCACCAACCTAATAAAATGGAATGATTCTCCAAGGAAAAAGAATCTCTTCCCTTTTCTGTTAGAAAAACACAGTCCTCTGCAGTCTGTAATTGTTTTTTATCCTATTCTTGCTAGCCCAAATCACTGAAACATTCCAGCATTTCAGAAAAGTCAGCTCCCCATGGACTTAGAAAGAAAAGCCTACTTGTAAAGTTCCTTTGATTTGCTTGAATTCATTTTCAGTACCATTTGCTAGTATTCATATAACACAGTCCTATTCCTGATGAAGAGGGCAGTGCAACACTTGGAGTCAGGTGCTGATTATAGAGGAGGTAAAAATTGGGTGAAAATATATTAAAAATTAACCATTTCTTAATTCTGCTCCAGGGATAGAAGTTAGATTTTTTTTTCCCCCACCACTAATATGCCAATAAAAAGATAAGCTTTTCTGTGAAAATTATTCCTGTTAAATAATATATTCATTAAATTTTACTCTTTTAATTGCATTAAAGATGTGGAAAGGATAACTTTCTGTGGTGACTAGAATGAATTCAAAATTCCTACTTGCCACTTATATTTATGCACATGAAAATGATTTGGAAGCAATATATGAAGTTCTGAATTCACTCACATCTTCTGCTGCATAGTTTTCAAAGGAGATGTTAAAACCAGTTATTTTAGCACCTTTGTTTATTAAGAGTCATTCTGGTCAGAGGAAAAAAACAAACGTTTGTTCGCTAAAAACTATGCATTAGTACTATGCCAATCTCTGCAGAGGATACAAAAGAAAGATAAGAGGCCATTCCCTAAAGGAGTATACAAGAAAGGATGGAGAGATAAAACTGAACAAAGTATTGCTTATTTCTAGGCCCAGCCAGTCCAGCCTAATCAGTTTGTTCCATCCTCTCCATCACCAGTAATTGGTTTCAATTTAAGCACATGATCAAGTTGGACTAAACTGGAGTTCATCTAGGACTCTGGCTATGTGGATTTCAGCTGGGGTTGCCAAACTGAAGGGCTCATTCATTTATGCATTTAACTAATCTTTTGTAAATATCTATCCTGTCAGGCACCCTTCTAGGTGGCAGATGGAAGCAACATAAAGGAAAACAAAAGAGTTGGAGGGAAAGAAATAGACGATTGGAGCATCTGGATTCAACTATACCTCAAGTTAGATTAACCCCTGGACTTTTTAACTGCATGAATCAACAAATCTTCTTTTAGTTTAAGACATTTTGAGTTAGTTTCTGCCACTTGCAACCCAGAGTCCTAACTAAGATCCCACCATCATCCCCAGGGTCTAACTGTGGCAACTGGACTAAAGCCTCACCTCCTTGTACTGTCCGCCTTGCCTGCTTCCAGTTATGGTCCTATCCCTAAGCCAGTTCTAGCAGGCTTGTGGTCCATTCCTCATCCTTTCTAGCATTTCCAAACTTAATTTGGAGTGACTCTCCAAATCTAACTTAGACTGGTCCCAAAATCTTGGAAGAAACCTATTCTCCAACTTCAACATAGACTGGCCTTTTTTCCTTTGAGGAGAAAGAAAACTGAACAGCGTGAATATCCTCACATAAATACATGCAAATACATCACTAGAATCAGATGTGGAGCTGGAGGTACCCCACCAGGGCAGCTCCTCCTACGTCATATCCAATGCAGAAATGCTGTCTCATTGTCTATGACCATCCATCCTCTGGTTAAATGCCTCCAGAGACAGAAAGCTCACTACCTCAGAAGCCATCCTGTTCTATTGATGGACAACTTCTATATATGAGATGTGTCATTATTATACCAAAATAAAAATTACTCCCTCTGAAATTTCCATTGCTTTATGCTATTTCTGTTAAATAGAGCAACAAAGAGTCAGCTTTCTTCATTGTCTACTTGTCAGCCCTTCAAATACTTGAGGACAATTAGTATGTCTGCTTTTAGTGTGTATTTTTCTACAGTTCATTCAGCTATTCCTTGAAATATGTAACTTCCAGATCCTTTAACATCCCAGTTCTCTTAGTCTAAATATACTCTGATTTGTCAACATCTCTTTTAAAATATGTTATTCCTCCCATCCACCCCATCCCTGAACTCACCTTTGGGGTGATCTGAAAAGCCCAGAGGACTGTGTGCAGGTCACTTTCAATGGGCTAAACATTGAATTTGTGATGACAAATCCTAAGATGTTATTGGCTCTTTTTCTTTTAGCAAACACACCACATGGTTGATTGATAGTTTTAGTACAATTCTTGACACATAGTAGGCTTCCAGAATGTGGCACTGAAGCTCCAGGTGATCCAAAACCTCCAGAGTCTGTTTACAAGAACCTACTGCATTGATGGTCCCTCTTTTCCTTTCCTACCTTGGAAAATGGATAGTTTGTTTTTTTAACACAAGCTTCAAGCTAGGATCCCAGCTGGTTTGTTCATCATGGTACGACCACTACCCAGAACAGTGTCTGGCACATGGTAGGGATTCAATGAGGGCTGATTAACTCAATGACTGTAAATACAAGAACCTCCTGTTTACTTAATTTTTGAATTTCAACCTTGATATTTAGTTAGTTGAGGTAATTTGCCGTCTAAACTCAGTATTAGTTATATTTCTTAATTCATGTTCCCTCTAAATTTAATAAGTCTGCCTTGTGCGGCCTTCCCTAAGACATTGATGAAAACATTGGAGAGGCTGGAGCCAAAGTTGGAACCCTTTAGGACTCAACAAGAGACCTTGGTCAAGGTGACATTGAGTCATTAGTCATACTGTGGGACTGAGCAGCAAACCCACCTTAGCTTTCATCATCTCACTCTGGCAAGGCTTTCTAAAGCTTTGTTGAAGTCAAAACACAGATTTAGTAGGTCAAGTCTTATGAAATTATTTTTTCTAGGTCAAGGTTCAATAGCAGCAATTTCATGTGGTTCAACCTCATTAAAAGCACCCACTAATAGTTAGCCAATGTTTTGTTTGTTAATTTTTCTGGACTTTCCTTAAAGAATCTATACTGGTTCTGTTCTGCCATGTCTAGCATCTGCCATCTTCCACCTCTGAAAATCAAGGTATTTGCCCTTCTCCAACTAGCGGTGCTCACCTGTATAGATTTCGTCTTCATTTAGGACGCTGCCATTTGCTTGAATCTGGAGACCAAGACTCATTCAATGTCACTGAGGGATGGTCTCCTGCAAATGCCAATGTGTATCTTGGACTCTTCTTCCACTAAACTGTGTCTTACTATTTATGGCCTGAAGACTATTCTCCTTACAAAGACTTTTATACATGCATAAGAGTTCTCAAAATAAAACCCTACTTCTCTTGAAGCTGAGTAATTGGCATTTAAAGTGCTTCAATAAATGTAAAAGTTAGGCATTTTAAAAAGTAGATGGCTGCTGGGCACAGTGGCTCACACCTGTAATTCCAGCACTTTGGGAGGCCAAGGCAGGCAGATCACAAGATCAAGAGATCGAGACCATCCTGGCCAACACGGTGAAACCTCATCTGTACTAAAAATACAAAAAAATAAAATTAGCTGGGCATGGTGGCGCACACCTGTAGTCCCAGCTACTCGGGAGGCTGAGGCAGGAGAATCACTGGAACCCAGGAGGCAGAGGTTGCAGTGAGCCGAGATTGCGCCAGTGCACTCCAGCCTGGTGAGACAGTGAGATTCCATCTCAAAAAAAAAAAAAAAAAAGTAGATGGCATGGCAAGGCCTTCTCCCACCCCAAAAGTGACAAATGACCATACAACTAATAATACGGTAAACCAAAAAGAAGAAATTGCATAAGGCAGGTTTATATGTGTGTGACCTTCAGGCAATAAATGTGAATTTTAAAGGATCAGTGAAAAATATTACTGAAGTAGGTTCAGAGCTGTTGAATATATGAATTTGAATGAATACACCAACACATGGAATAATTTAAAAGTTATACTATACACTACAGGCAGAGATTATATAAACATTTACCTAGGAGAGATTAGAAAAAATATATAGAAAGTTGTCTCTGGATGGTTATCATTTTCAAAAACAATAAAGCTAGTAACTAAAGCCATATGTCATAATATTCAAACATAATCCTAGTTCTTACAAATATAAAAGAGTTTCAAAGTGTAACATCTTGTGCATGGTATGTTATAGAATTAATTTTTCAGTTTTGTTTTTTGTTCATTTGTTATTTTGCAATTTGTATATTAATAGTGGTCAGAAGTGAAAAGTGGGAGAAATAACATTTCAGTAATTGAACATCATTAATGTGTTTACCATTTTAAAATACATAGAAACAACCTTAAAAAGCAAACCAGACCTAATATTTAATCAGATAAAATGTCTAATAAGTATTAATACCTATCTTTAAATTAGAGAATGAGGAAAACGTATGACTTTAAAATTATCTGAAACTAAAAACAAGATTATTTTTACGAGACGCCTTGGGCAAATGAACCTTGGCAACAAAGATATCAAATCAGCTCTTTTAAATAAATTATTTTCTCTAGTGGCCAGCAACCTGAACTATGACGGCTTCTAGCACAAAATTCAAAGGTTGCTTTTCCTCCCAGAAAGTAACGCTGTCCCCTCTGTACTTGCCAAATCAAGCTTCTGGACTGTGTTTATTTGACTATTAAACTGCCAATTATTCATCAGGTTTTCTAGTTTGCGGTTTCTCCAAAGCACTTTGCTTCTTGCCCACTTCGAACAACCTGCTCATTAGCAGTAACTGTGTACATTCAGGAAGGGAAGAATGACCCTCAAGCCAAGCTATCTAGTTGTTATTTGCATGACTAATAAAATATGCAATGGAGTAAACAACTGAATCTACAGTTTTCAACAGGGTTTGGGGACCAAGTATGGATTTTAGTTTTTCCTTAACTTGGCAACATTTTGAAGCATTTTGTTCACATTAAATTGGTTTACTTTTGTGTTTAAAATTTCTAGGCTCTCTATTACTTTATATTTTCAGATAGTCAAGAAGCACATGTTTGGTCTATTGCCCTAAGTCACTTTTCAAAGGCAACTCGAGGAAAACGATTTGCAGCTAGAGCAAAGGTGACAAGTTGACCTTTACTGGCTGCAAAGACGTTTGTCATAATAATCAGCTGCTTTCTGGTCTATAAGAGAAATATTCTCTCGGCTTTCATTTATTGTTTCTAATATCAGCACATCATTATAAATATTATTGCAAGTCTGCAGAGAGCCAGGGTTTGAGTGATGATGCCCTTGAAATGCCCCAGACTTTAATTTTAGCTGGAAAATCAGGCAAAAACAAGATGTTTTCCCCTGTGCCCTATCTTTTACAAGAAATATTCACTATGCCATTTGATAAATTAACCAATAAAATATATTCTTGGATAAATATATGTTAATCCTTGTATATTTCCTAGCTATTTTAATTTGTGATGGAATTTGCCTCAAAAGGATCCATAAGTTCACACTGCAAATACTCCTACAAATCTCCCCAAAGGACCTGCAACCATGTACTAGAGTGTCTACACATTGTACAAAAGAAACACCCAAAGTTTTCAGAGATTACTAAACACTGGCCATGAATTGACACTAATTTCTAGAGACTGAAAATGCCACCAGGAGCTCTGTAGAGCTCACAGTGGTCAGGTAATAGATGGAGTCATACATCAATTCCAAATTACAGTGGACCCAGCTGGTCCATGGACCTGCTTTGCAGTTATTCCCCAGGTTCTGAATGTATAATTGAAATAGACACACTTAGCAACTGGAAGAATTCCTATGGGATGAGGGCCACTGGAACTTCCCTTTTCTACCAAGGTAGTAAATCTGGGGAATTTCAGAGACTAATACCACCGTAACAGTCTTGAAAGAAGCAAAGATGGTACCTATCACACACTCATTTAACTCACCAATTTAACCTATGCAGACATTCATGGATTATAGAGAATGACTGTGGATTATCGCAGTCTTAGGTAGTGGCAACTGCAGCTACTGACCTACATGTAGTATCTTTGCTAGAGCAAGCAAACATGGCTATGGGCACATGACATGTAACTAATGCCTTTTGCGTCATACTAATTTGCAAAGACCCCCAGAAGTAGTTTGTTTGTACCTTACAGGGGAAATAGTCTTCCTTCAGGGCTATATCAATTCTCCTGCTCTCTGCCATGTATAATCTGCAGAGACCTTGATTGTCTTTATGCTACATTGACAACATTATGCTGATGGGCTCTAATGAGCAGGATGGAGCAAGTACTTAACATCTTAGTAAGACATATAAAAGACAAACCCAACTAAATTTCAGGGGACCCCAGCCACCTCAGTGAAGTTTCTAAGGGCTTAAAGGTCTGGAACAAGTCAAGATATCCCCTGCAAAGTTAAATATAAATTGCTGCACTTCATATCACCTACACCCAAATAAAAGGCACAATGCTTGGGAGGCCTTTTTGAATTTTGGAAACAATATAGTTACAAGCTTCTCTACCACTTCATCCTTATTATCCAGCAGATTCAGTGATATCTGAAATCTCTGTGGCAAATAGGATGCTGTCTGGAATCTCTGGTGGGTACAAAAGAATACTCATAATGCAAACCTCTGGAATGGTGAAGACAATTTACGTCCTTTTTTGCAGATAACTATTTTCTTTTCGGGAAACACCTACTGGTCCTTGATAGAGACTGAACACCTAACCATGGGACATCAGGTGGCCATGAAACCTGAACTTCCCGTCATGAACTGAGTGTTGCCCAGCCATAAGCTGGGAGTGCACACCTGCATTCTATCATAAACCGGATGAAAGACTAAGATCAAATGAGTTTGAAAGGTATGAGAAAGTTGCAAAGCAGGTCGCTCAAATTTCCACGCAATTCCTGTTGCATTGCCTCCTGTCTCTCTCAATCCATGCCTATGGCTTCCTTATGATCACTTGAATGAGGAAGATATTTGTGCGCCATATGAATTTCCATATTTATCTACTGCAGAATAGGCTTTTAATAATCAAATGGACAAAATGATGCACTCTGTGAATGTTAGTAAGTCTCTTTCCCAAGTCACCCCAGTGCTTTCTTAATAGGTAATTAACAAGTGGCCAAGGAGACAGGGATGGAGAATGACATGGTTTGGCTGTGTGTCCACACCCAAATCTCATCTTGTAGCTCCTACATAATTCCCATGTGTTGTGGGAGGGACTTGAGGGGAGATGATTGAATCATGGGGGTAGGTCTTTCCTGTGCTGTTCTTCTGATAGGGAATGGGTCTCACAAGATCTGATGATTTTAAAAAACAGGACTTCGCTGCACATTTTTTTTTGCCTGCCACCATCCACGTAAGAAGTGACTTGCTCCTCCTTGCCTTCTGCCACGATTGTGAGGCCTCCCCAGCCATGTGGAACTGTAAGTCATTACACCTCTTTCCTTTGTAAATTGCCCAGTCTTGGGTATGTCTTTATCAGCAGCATGAAAATGGACTAATAAGGATACTATGTATGGGCTCAACAACATGGACTGCCCTTAGAAATGACCCAAGTGTGACTAATCTGTCAACAGCTAAGACCAACACTGATCCCCAGATATGGCACCATTTCCCAGGGGTACAGACCACCACCTGGTAGCAAGTTGATTAAATTGTACTATACTCCTTCCAAAATAGATGGGGTATAGATTTTGTCCTCACTGCAACAAGCACATATTCTGAATAAGTATTTGCCTTCCTTGGTAACAGGGAAGATGGTAGTTGAGTATTGCCATTGATAGACCCACAGAATGCTTTACCATCATCATGGCATGCTCCATAGCATTGCTTCTGATCAACAAACTCCATTTCACAGAGAAGGAAGGACAGCAATGGTCTTAAACATATGAAATAAACTGGCTAGCTAATTGAAAAGGGGAATGGCTTTCTGTGACTCAGCTATGATACTACTTGAGACCCTGCACCCTGAAAAGGGGTTGTGTCTTACAGGATACAATATATGCTTTGAGTCACAGGCAATTACATGGTGTTATCTCCCTCCCAGCAGAATACACAGATTTGTGAGTTGAGAAGTAGAAGTGGGAATGCCTCTTCTCATTATTATGTCTAATACCTCACTCTCAGAGTTGATGCTTCCTTTACCAGCAACCTTGAGCTGTGCTAGTTTGTAGGTCTTTGTTCCCATGTAAGGAATGCTTCAGTCTGGGGGCACAAAAATGGTTCCATTAAATTGGAAGATGATATTGCAACTTGGCCATTTTAGGCCTATACCACTGAATAAAAGACAGAAAAAAAAATGATTATTCTTTTGGCTGGAGAAATTTATCCAACTACCAAGGGTAAATTAGGTTACAAAAATGAGGAGAAGAGTAACTATTTCTGTAACACAGGGGATTCTTTGGGATTCTCAGTACTCCCAAGCACAGTAGTGAAGGTTAGTGGAAAATCATAGCAACCAACAAAAGACAGGACAATTGAGGACTCAGACTGTTCCCGAAGGTTTGGCTTACTCTACCAGGTAAAAAAAACTCCAGCTAACTGAGATTCCAGGTGGAAGGCAGAGGAAATATTATAAAGGTGGTAGAAGAAGGAAGCCATTGGCATCAATTACAGCCTCATGACCAATTAGAGAAACAATGTCTATAGTAGCTTTGCATATTTTCTTCTTGCTTGCTATGTGTATGTGTTTATTTGTATATGTTAACAATTTGCTTCTATCTCTTTATTTTTTGGTTTTATATATAAGTTGTTGGAGGTTAACTTTACAACTTAGTTTGCAGGTAACAAAATATTCTGTGGGCCTTTGACAGAATTTGATGAATAATAAATATAGCCAGTTATGGATACAATGATTGTTGGGACTGTGTGTCCCTTCATTTTGGGAAAAGGCTAACAATTTTACTTGTAAAAAGAACAGCTGTATCTTGTTTGGGAGAAATATAAAGTTGTTTCATTGTTGTACTGAAGTTCAAATGTGTGTGGAAGAGTGTGTATGGAAACTGAGTAGCCAGAGAGACTGCAGCAATTACCAATGTAATTGTAATTATCCCTGAACTCCAGATCCACCTTTTATTGCCTTCTCTATGGTACTGAGCTGTAAATATTTCTTCATTTCCAGTGGGCATGATAGGCTTTGCCACTCATGGTGGCAGGAGGTGCACTGGAGGGATAGGGCAGGAGGTGCACTGGAGAAAAAAGGGATTTCTCTTCCTGGTTCTGGTGTGCTCCTCTCTTGAGAGTCCCACAGCACATATGGCTTCACTAGCACCTGTCCCTACAATGCAGGTGGTTTCTCCTGCTCCCAGCTCTTGCAGTATGAACAACTTCTCCAGCACCCAGCTCCCGCAGTGTGCAGCATCTAGCAGTACCCAGTGGTCAGCAGCTTCTCCCAGCATCCCTAAGGCAACTTCACAGTGGAGTGCCACTGGCAAGGCATGTCCTAGTGAACTACTTGCCCTAGTTCCCTGTTGGGAAGCTTCAAGGCATGTTCCCAGGTGTGGCACTTCCTGTGGATGCTTCCCCTGGCCCCAGAGTTACAGTTAATCCCCTTTTACAGTTAATAACTCTTGATATTAAACTTGCCCTCTTCAAATTACTGTGTGGCTTCCGTCTCCTTGTCAGACCATCATTGATTCAGACAGGCAAAAACACATGTCTTTTGGAGAAAGTGTTCATTATACTTCTCAGTATATTTAAAAAATAAAACAGACTTTCAGACTATATATATATATATATATATATATATATATATATATATATATACATACACACACACACATATATATACACACACACATATATATATATATACACACACACATATATATATACACACACATATATATATACACACTAATCTGCTATAGACTGCTGACTGTGTCCCCCTAAAATTTACAGGTTGGAGTCCTAATCCCCAATGTGACAGTATTTGGAGGTGGGGTCTTTGGGAGGTAATTAGGTTTCAATAAGGTCATAAGGATGCAGCCCCCATGACAGAATTAGTGTCCTGTAAGTAGATAAAGGAATCAAAGCCCTCTCTTTGCCATGTGAGGATACAAGAAGATGTTGGTCTACAAACCAGGAAGGAATCAGCCAGCACCTTGAGTTTGGACTTTCCAGCCTCCAGAACTATGAGAAATAAAGTTCTATCATTTCAGCCACTCAGTCTATTCTATTATTTTTTATTATAGCAGCCCTAAATGACAAGACATATTATTTACATGTTTCTAAGCTACTTTATTCTGCATATTGGAATTTAGTATTTATAACATTTAATTTAAACTATCTTTTAAAAAACAATCTACTATGAAGTGATTTGGAAAGCTACACATTGAAAACTAAAGAACTGTAAATTAGTGGTGATCTGTAAGATTTTGGTGCACCCATCACCCAAGCAGTACACACTATACCATATTTGTAATCTTTTATCTCTCACCCCCCTCTCCCTTTTCCCCCAAAGTCCGCAAAGTCCATTGTGTCATTCTTTGTGTCATTCTTATGCCTTTGTGTCCTCATAGCTTAGCTCCCACATATCAGTGAGAACATATGATGTTTGGTTTTCCATTCCTGAGTTACTTCACTTAGAATAATAGTGTCCAGTCTAATCCACGTCACAGCAAATGCTGTTAATTCATTCCTTTTATGGCTGCATAGTATTCCATCATCATATATATATAGATATATAGATATATAGATATATATTTGACTTCCTCTCTTCCTATTTGAATATGCTTTATTTCTTTCTCTTGCCTGATTGCCCTGGCCATAACTTCCAATACTATGTTGAACAGGAGTGGTAAGAGAGGGCATCCCTGTCTTGTGCTGGTTTTCAAAGGGAATGCTTCCAGCTTTTGCCCACCATATATATATATATATAGTGTGTGTGTGTGTATATATATATATAGTGTGTGTGTGTGTATATATATATGTGTGTGTATGTATATGTCTGTATATATATCTGTGTGTATATATATCTGTGTGTATATATATGGTGCAGTGTATACTGCTCGGGTGATGGGTGCACCAAAATCTCACCAATCACCACTAAAGAACTTACTCATGTAACCAAATACTATCTGTACCCCAATAACTTATGGAAAAATATTTTAAAAAGTAAAATTAAAAGAAGTGTATGATTTTTACACTTAAGAAAGAGAAATAACTAGGAATGAGAAAAGAAATACTAACTACAATTCTTTAGGTTGGTCCCATGAATTTGCTATTGTGAATTGTGCCGCTATTTCTCCACATCCTCTCTAGCATCTGTTGTTTCCTGACTTTTTAATGATGGCCATTCTGACTGGCATGATATGGTATCTCATTGTGGCTGAGAAAAAGAGGGACTCCTCCCTAACTCATTTTATGAGGCCAGCATCATCCTGATACCAAAGCCTGGCAGAGACACAACAAAAAAAGAAAATTTCAGGCCATATTGGATATTCCCTGATGAACATCGATGCAAAAATCCTCAATAAAATACTGGCAAACCAAATCCAGCAGCATATCAAAAAGCTTATCCAACACAATCAAGTCAGCCTCATCCCTGGGATGCAAGGCTGGTACAACATACTCAAATCAATAAACGTAATCCATCACATAAACGGAACCAATGGCAAAAACCACATGATTATCTTAATCAATACAGAAAAGGCCTTTGATAAAATTCAACACCCCTTCATGCTAAAAACATTCAATAAAGTAGGTATTGATAGAGCATATCTCAAAATAATAAGAGCTATTTATGACAAACCCACAGCCAATATCACACTCAATGGGCAAAAGCTGGAAGCATTCCCTTTGAAAACCAGCACAAGACAGGATGCCCTCTCTTACCACTCCTGTTCAACATAGCATTGGAAGTTATGGCCAGGGCAATCAAGCAAGAGAAAGAAATAAAGCATATTCAAATAGGAAGAGAGGAAGTCAAATTGTCTCTGTTTGCAGATGACATGATTGTCTATTTAGAAAAACCCATCGTCTCAGCCCAAAATCTCCTTAAGCTGAGAAGCAACTTCAGCAAAGTCTCAGGATACAAAATCAATGTACAAAAATCACAAGCATTCCTATATACCAATAATAGACAAACAGAGGGCCAAATCATGATCATGAGTGAACTCCCATTCACAATTACTACAAAAAGAATAAAATACCTAGGAATCCAACTTTTAAGGGATGTGAAGGACGTCTTCAAGGAGAACTGCAAACCACTGCTCAAGGAAATAAGAGAGGACACAAACAAATGGAAAAACATTCCATGCTCATGGATAGGGAGAATCAATATTGTGAAAATGGCCATACTGCCCAAAGTAATTTATAGATTCAATGCTATTCCCATCAAGCTACCATTGACTTTCTTCACAGAATTAGATAAAAACTACTTTAAATTTCATATGGAACCAAAGAAGAGCCCATATAGCCAAGACAATCCTAATCAAAAAGAACAAAGCTGGAGGCATCACTCTATCTGACTTCAAACTACACTACAAGGCTACAATAACCAAAACAGCATGGTACTGGTACCAAAACAGATACATAGACCAATGGAACAAAACAGAGGCCTCAGAAATAACACCACATATCTACAACCATCTGATCTTTGACAAACCTAACAAAAACAAGCAATGTACAAAGGATTCCCTATTTAATAAATGGTGCTGGGAAAACTGGCTAGCCATATGCAGAAAACTGAAACCGGACCACTTCCTTACACCTTACACAAAAATTAACTCAAGATGGATTAAACACTTAACCGTAAGACCTAAAACCATAAAAACCCTAGAAGAAAACCTAGGCAATACCATTCAGGGCAAAGGCATGGGCAGACTTCATGACTAAAACATCAAAAGCAATTGCAACAAAAGCCAAAATTGATAAATGCCATCCAATTAAACTAAAGAGCTTCTGCAAAGCAAAATAAATTATTATCAGAGTGAACAGGAAACCTACAGAATGGGAGAAAATTCTTGCAATCTATCCATCTGACAAAGGGCTAATATCCAGAATCTACAAGGAACTTAAACAAATTTACAAGAAAAAAACAAACAACCCCATCATCAAAAAGTGGGCAATGGATATGAATAGACACTTCTTAAAAAAAGACATTTATAGGCTGGGTGCAGTGGCTCACACCTGTAATCCCAGCACTTTGGGAGGTTGAGGCGGATGGATCACAAGGTCAGGAGATCAAGACCATCCTGACTAACATGGTGAAACCCCATGTCTACTAAAAATACAAAAAAAATAGCCAGGCATGGTGGCAGGCGCCTGTAGTCCCAGCTACTTGGGAGGCTGAGGCAGGAGAATGGCGTGAACCCAGGAGGCAGAGCTTGCAGTGAGCCAAGATTGCGCCACTGCACTCTGGCCTGGGCGACAGAGTGAGACTCTGTTTCAAAAAAAAAAAAAAAAAAACACATTTATGCAGCCAACAAACATGAAAAAAAAGCTCATCATCACTGGTCATTAGAGAAATGCAAATCGAAGAATTTTTATTTTCCATCTTAATTTTGTTTTTGACCCAATGCTCATTCCGGAGCAAGTTATTTAATTTCCGTGTATCTGCATGGTTCAGAAGGATCCTTTTGGAGTTGATTTACAGTTTTTTCCACTGTGGTCTGAGAGAGTGCTTGATATAATTTCAGTTTTCTAAAGTTTATTGAGGTTCATTTTATGGCCTATCATATGGTCTATCTTTGAGAAAGGTCCATGTGCTGTTGAATAGAATGTGTATTCTGCACTGGTTGGATGAAATGTTCTGTATATATCTGTTAAGTCCACTTGTTTCAAGGTATAGTTTAAATACATTGTTTCTTTCTTTTTTTTTTTTGTTTGTTTGTTTTTTTTTGAGACGGAGTCATGCTCTGTTGCCCAGGCTGGAGTGCAGTAGCACAATCTCAGCTCACTGCAACCTCAACCTCCCAGGTTCAAGCAATTCTCCTGCCTCAGCCTCCCGAGTAGCTGAGATTACAGGTGCCTGCCACCACGCCTGGCTAATTTTTGTGTTTGTAGTAGAGATAGGGTTTCACCTTGTTGACCAGGCTGGTCTCAAACTCCAGACCTCAGGTGATCCGCCCACCTCAGCCTCCCAAAATGCTGGGATTACAGGTGTGAGCCACCATGCCTTGCCTAAATCCATTGTTTCTTTGTTGACTTTCTGTCTTGATGACCTGTCTAGTGCTGTCAGTGGAGCATTGAAGCCCCCACTATTATTATGTTGCTGTCTATCTCATTTCTTTGGTCTACTAGAAATTGTTTCAGGGAAAGAAAACAAAAAGTGTTTCATTGCCTAGATTAGAGTTTATTACAGAATTACCATGAAAAATATTTGCAATATTGTGCATTTTGCTTATTTTTTATGCATTTTAAGCAGATTTGTAAGACTTTCTCAATCAATCCTAAAGATAGTTAATAAGCTTGTAACTTCTAACCCCCAAACATTGAGTGTCTCTTATGAAAGTATGAGATTATTCAGAAGTCAGAGTTATCACTTTTCTTTTTGTTAATGCATTTGCACAATTGTTATAATTTTATATTTTAATTCATTAAAGTAAGCCTTGTCACTAAGGTGGCCTCAAAGCTCAAAGGATGGGATTCTGGTTAGCTCCTCATACAATTTGCTTCTCATAGCTTGCAGAGGCCTGATTGTCCTCTGAAAGAAACCAGCCAGTGTGTGGTAAACTGGTGAGTTTGCCAGTAGGTACACTTTTTTGTTCCTTAATTCTTTGCCACTTTTGGCAAATAACTGAATAACATATGGCTTTTATCCCTGTGTTAGTCTGTTTGCATCACTATAAAGGAACACCTGAGACTGGGTAATTTATCAAGAAAAGTGGTTTAATTGGCTCATAGTTTTTCAGACTCTACAGGAAGCATGGTGCCAGCCACTACTGCTGGTGAGGGCCTCAAGAAGCTTACAATCATGGCAGAAGGCAAAGGGGAATCAGGTGCATCACATGGCAAGAGTTGGAGAAAGAGAGGGAAGAGTGGCCAGGATCTTTTTAAACAACCAGATCTCCTATGAACTCAGAGCAAGAACTCACTCATTACCATGAGGACAGCATAAGCCATTCATGAGGGATCTGCCCACATGACCCAAACACCTCCCACCAGACTCCATCACCAACACTGGCGATCACATTTCAACAGAAAATCTGGAGGGGAAAAACATCCAAACTATATCATTCAACCTCTGGCCCCCCAAATCTCATGTCCTTCTCACATTACAAAATAACATAATCCCTTCCCAATAGTCCCTCAAAATCTTAACTAAAAGTTAAGAATTAATTCAAAAGTCCCAAGTCTCATTTGAGACTCAAGGCATGCTCCTTCTACCTCTGAGCCTGTAAAATTAAAAACAAGTTATTTACTTCCAAGATACAATAATGGTACAAGTATTGGGTAAATATTCCCATGCCAAAAGGGAGAAATCAGTCAAAAGAAAGGGGCAGCAGGCCCCACACCAGTCTGAAACCCAGAAGGGCAGACATTAAATCTTAAAGCTCCAACATAATCCCTGACTTCATATGCTGCATTCTGAGCACACCAGTGCAAGGGGCCAGCTCCCAGGGCCTTGGGCAGCTCTGCCTCCATGGCTGCTCACACAGGTAAGTGTTGAGTTCCTGTGGCTTTTCCAGGCCCACAGTGTTAGCTGCCACTGGTTCTACCATTCTGGGGTCTGGAGAGTGGCAGGCCCCTTCCCACAGCTCCACTAAGTGGTACCCCAAGTGGGGATTCTGTATGGGGGCTTCAACTCCACATTTCTTCCTTGGCACTGTCCCTAGTAGAGGCTCTCTGTGGGGGCTCCAACCCTGTGGCAGGCTTCTGCCTGGGCACTCAGGCTTTCCCCTATGTCCTCTGAGATCTAGAGAGAAGCTGCCAAGCCTCCTTTATTCTTGTATTCTGTGTGTTTGCAGGCTTACCACCACATGGAAGCTGTCAAGGTTTATAGCTTGCCTCCTCCAGAGTGGCAGCCCAAGCTGTACCTGTGGCCCTTGGAGCTGCAGCTGGAGCTGGAGCAGCCAGTATGGGCAGCAGCATCCCAAGGATGAACAGGGCAATGTGGCCCTGGGCTTGGGCCCTGAAACCATTCTTTCCTCCTGTGGGCCTGTGTTGGGAGGGGCTGCCTCAAAGATTTCTGAAATGCCTTCAAGGTCTTTTTCCTATTATCTTGGATGTTATTAGCACTTGGCTCCTATTTAGTCATACAAATCTCTCTAGCAAGTGGTTGCTCTGTAGCCTACTTGAATTTCTCTCCTGAAAATTCTCTTTCCTTCTCTACCACAGTGCTAGGCTGCAAATTTTCGAAATGTTAATGTTTTCCTTTTAAATGTAAGTTCCAACTTTAAGTCATTTCTTTCCTCCTGTATCTGATCTAGGCTGTTAGAAGCAGCCAGACTACATCTTGAATGTTTTGCTGCTGAGAAATTTCTTCCACCAGATATCCTAAGTCATCACTCTTAAGTTCAAACTTCCACAGATTCCTGGGACGTGGACAAAATGCAGTCAAGTTCTTTGCTAGGGCATAATAAAAGTGACATTTATTCCAGTTCCTAACAACTTCCCCATTTCCCTCTGAGGCCTTGTCAGCCTGGCCTTTCATTGTAAATATTTATTATCAACATTTTGGTCACAACCACTTAACAAGTCTCTATGAAGTTCCAAACTCTCCTTTTTCTTCTTTTCTTCTTCTGAGCCCTCCAAACTCTTCCAACCTCCGCCCGATATCCAGTTCCAAAGCTTGTTCCACATCTTCAGGTGTCTTTATAGCAACATCTCACTCCTCCTACCAATTTTATATTAGTCCATTTGCATTGCAAAGAAATACCTAAGACTGGGTTAGTTATACAGAAAAGAGATTTAATTGACTCATAGTTATTCAGGCTGTACAAGAAGCATGGTGCCAGCATCTGTTCCTGGTGAGGGCCTCAGGAAGTTTACAATAATGGTGGAAGACAAAGAAAGATCAGGCACATCACATGGCAAGCCAGGAGCAAGAGAGAGAGGCAGAAGTGCCAAGCTCTTTTTAAACAACGATATCTCATAAAAACTCACTCATTACATGAGGACAGCACCAGGAAATTCATGAGGGATTCATCCCCATGAGCCGAACACCTCCCACTAGGCCCCACCTCCAACACTGGGGATCACATTTCAATACAAGATTTGGAAAGGACAGACATCCAATGATATCAATCCCTGTTCATTGTGAATTTTTATATTAGAATAAATTTTAAATGGAGTGAAGCAGATGTCTCCAAGTGTGATTATGCATTTCTGTCCCCTCATCATCCAACTGACCTCCACATCTCCATCAGTTTGCATACTCCTTGAAAAACAAACAAATATTCTGTGAGCCCCTAGCAAGAGTCAGGCACTGAATCCTCACAGAAAACCTACTATTTATCCCATTTTATTTTACTTTATTGAGACAGGGTTTTGCTCTGTCACCCAGGCTGGACTGAAGTGGCACCATCTCAGCTTACTGCAACCTCTGATTCCTGGGCTCAAGCAGTTCTCCCACCTCAGTCCCCCGAGGAGCTGAGACTACAGGCATGTGCCACCACACCCAGCTAATTTTACCTTTTTGTTTGTTTGTTTGTTTGTTTTGTTTTTTGGTAGAGATAGGGTTTCACCATGATGGCCAGGCTGGTCTTGAACTCTTGGACTCAAGGAATCCACCTGCCTCAGCCTTCCAAATTGCTAGGATTGCAGGTGTGAGTCACTGCACCTGTCCTACTGCTTTCATTTTATAGATGAGAACATTAGATAGGGGAGTTGAGTTATTTGACCAACATCAAGTAGTTAGTAAGCAGCAGAGCTAGGATCTGAATCCAAGTCTGCATGGATCTAAAGTCTGAATAACCCTGGCATCATGAAAACCAAATTAGAGTAGAGGTATCAGTCCAGAAATAATTTCCTGACTTGAAAAATTAGATCTTCTTGAATTCAACTGTTCAACATTTGTCCGTTTGTACCAGAGCAACCTTTAAAGATGGCGTTATACCTTTTCTAAAGAAATTGAACATCTAAAGAAAACCATTAAGGTTGCAGACAAATTTTTATGCACCAAAGATGTGGGCAATAACCCCAAATGTCTACATATAGGTTGAATGTTATAGCACAGACACAAAATAAAATATTATGCAGTCATTAAAAACAAACTTTCATAGATATTTCAATAAAATGGAAAGTGAGAAAAATCATGATAGAAAACATTATAGAGTATAAAACTAGTTACGTTAACATATAGACACATATATACACATTTTTTAAGAGCACAAGATGTATAGAGATTAGCTCAGCCTCATTAGAATGCAAAAAAAAGTTTCCTCTTTATAGTTTTATCTGTTCTCTACAATATATGCAATAAGCATCACTATATAATAATAATAAACATAAGTTATAAAGTACTTTTCAGACTTTCAAAATGGGCAAATATTTGATTTCCCAATGATTGGTCTGTGGAAAATGATTTCAGAAATGTATAACTATAATTATAAGAAATATTCATAAGACCAACTATAATTCCAATGTTATTTTGTTTCAATAAGAGACAAAACTTACATGGTCATATGCAACCCATGTATAAATTCATTTATAGCCCTCCTGATCAGTGTATATATATTCATAAGGCCCTAGAAAATTTGATCATAACCAGTGACAAAGAATTCCCATTTTTAAGTTTTGGAAAGAACTATCAGCTTAAGCCTGAAGCCTCTCTTTCTTCAGTCTATTTCTCTGAGCTAAATTTTTGTTATAAAAGACAAACGAAGAAATTATTTGTCCTCCATGCTCAAATGCAGCCCTTCTCCAGGTTCTCCCTGATAATGACATTCAGCTCAGGGCTGAATTTTATGATAATTGAAACCACACACTTATTTTAATTACTTTCTGCATTTTCCATTTGCCATCTTGTCAGAACGATGTATGAATCACAGTGAACAATTAGTGCGTTGGAAGAAACCATGTGTGAGGCTGAATGGAAGCCTAGTTCAGTTGTTGCTCGAGCCAATGCTGTGATGATCCTGACAGTTCCATTCCATTAATTCCAAAGCCACCAAATTACATTGTCCTGCTTTTCTTGTGCAGAGATAAGGTCTACTGCCAACACCTTCTTCTCACTATGACCAGGTTCTGGAGGAACAAAACTGCTTCAGGGCCAACCTGGATTGCCATGAATCACCTTCATATCTCACATTGTCCAGGGAAGCCCTTGCACAAAGCTAGTACTCATAAACAACGGGCAGATTAACCTATGTGGCATGACCATTTGGTGGGGGAGAAAAGCTCTTTTCAGCAGTCTGCGTCTCTTTTTTGTTCTCAACCATAAAAAGATAAATGTTTTTATTTCTAGGTGGAATATGCTATTGTCAGACTTTCTGGGGGTTTAGATCTAAGAGAAGAAAGCTTTGTTCTTCAGGTTTCCTCAACTCATATAACTTCTATTTTCTCAGAGCCACAGTGCCATTAGGATTTTTCTGGTGGCTTTCTTTTATTTGATTTAAGAATATGTGCAGTGGATTTTTCCTGTTAACATTTGAGTTTGTAAATAAGACCCAGACATGGACACAGCAAACAACCCCAAAGTGGCATTTGAAGGCCAACAAATGCCACTCTTTCTGGATCTCTTTTCCAGATCCAGAAAACCACCTCATTGGTTATTGCTTTGGGCTCAATCCCTGGGGGCCCCTGGGAGAAAAAAAAGGCCATAGTATAATCTGGGAGAAATAACATAGTGGGATAAAACTGCTTTATAGCTGTGTTCTTATGACCCTTTAAATTCCATTTTGATGTATTTTGGAAATATACATGCTGGGTAAGTTTGGATTTGTTACCAGCAAAGAGATATGGCCCCTGTAACGGAAAGTTGTTTGTGTTCTGAACCAAGTTTATGGGTTTGCACTTCAGTGAAGTGGTTAATGAGTACATTTAACAATTATACTTAAATTATCTGCAAATTGGCAAAATGGAAAAGATTAGGAGACACTCTCTCAGATGCTAAAACAGATTAGAAAATTATCCCACTGATTGGGAAATATGGTACTCAGGAAAGATATGGACCAGGAAGCCACTCCTGCCATGTCACCTTTCCATTTGGCTTCTGTTGGAAACAGAAAGTAAGCTCTAAAGAGAATTAAGTTAGAATTATGAGACAATGGCTGTATAAAATACAGTGGGCTGTATAAAAATACAGTTAATGAAACAATTCACTAAGTTAAAATAGCCATAGGTGCTGCAACATAAAATTCAAGAGATTTTGGAGGCACACAGATCTGAAAAACCATGGCCAAGAAGAACATGTGACTCTGCACCAAGAGTGGATTTGAGGAGTGGCTATGACCTCAAAGGAGGTCACAGTGAGCCGAGATCACACCATTGCACTCCAGCCTGGGCAACAGAGCAAGATGCCATCTCAAAAAAAAAAAAATCTATTGTCATCCTTGCCATTTTTCCAAGCTTCAACTCGGGATTTTAGCATTCATGATACCACTTTACTGGTGCATACTGGTCTTTATCGTTATCCTTGTAGATACCTTTCTTTCCTTCTTTTTTATTACATAATACATTTTTAAGAATCTGAACTCGGGAGGCCGAGGTGGGCACATCACAAGGTCAGGAGATCGAGACCATCCTGGCTAACAGAGTGAAACTCCGTCTCTACTAAAAATACAAAAAAACTTATCTGGGCATGGTGGCACGCACCTGTAGTCCCAGCTACTTGGGAGGCTGAGGCAGCAGAATCGCTTAAACCCAGGAGGCAGTGAGCCGAGATCACACCACTGCACTCCAGCCTGGGCAACAGAGCGAGACTCCATCTCAAAAAAAAAAAAAAGAAAGAAAGAAAGAATCTGAACTATTTGTTTCTTTAGGTCTCTCCATTTGCTTATTCAGATGGTTGCAATAGGACAGTCACAGTACTGGCTCCAGAATTATAGAAGGACCTTAGGGATGGTGGAAATCTGACTGAAACAAGAGCTAGGTCTTGCTTTGAGGTGGTAATAATGTTAAGCAAGTATCTTTTGCCTATATTGTATGTATATTACAGACAAATTAAAATAGTCAGGTGAATAAGTTTGCTTTCATACTTTAAATGAAATTAATAAGATACCTATTATTCATATCAATAAAAAAACATATTTTTATTATTCTCATTATTAGGGCTTGGTAGAGGGCTAATGAAGATTAGTGAGGAGAGAAAGCTAAAGCTTTCCAAGCCACCCCTTAGCACCACCTTTTCAGAGTTAACATTGAATTTTTGTAAGCTTCCCCCACCACCTGGGTCATCTTCCCTCCCTTGATATCATGCCATTGAAATAACACATCTTTCATTTCTCAACTTTTTGACACCTTTAGCACAGTCTGATTGTGCTTTCCCTCACTGGCAATCATGAACTCTTTCCCAGTGGAAGTCTGTTCCTCCTGCTCTTCTCTATTCTTCCTTTAGCATTAACCAATACACCCTTCATGGTTAGAATTAGAACCAGTGGCAGTTTCCTTTTGACTTTCTCATCTCTTCAGTAGAGAAAAAATATCACATTAAAAATGTTGAAGATGCTCTGCTTTTAGCCAAAAGTAGCCTTAGAAGACACCCAGAGAGTCAATGATCCCCTTACAACTATGCCTTGGGCTATGATAATGACCAAGATTTTTTTATAACCTTAAAGGAATATCCCCTTGTAAAAGTATCCATGTCTAAACTAGTCCTGACAAAAAATCATGAGAAGTGGGTGAACATCACGAGCATGTTTTATAAAACAATCTGTTGCACACTCCAGAATAGCATATTTCTCAACTAAACCTGTCAGACACTGTGCTAGGCATCGGGGCAGCCAGCTCTGAGCTCCCTCAAGAGTGCATTCTCCATGCTCCATCAAGGTCCAAGACAAACTTCTAGTTCTTCTTCTTCTTCATCATTGTCTTCATCACCTTCATCATTGGACCCACGGCTGACAACAAGGCCTGTGGGGAGGACCTCGGAGCTCCCTAATTTGGACCCCCACTTTGTGGCTCTGCACACCAAGGAGCCCCCTCCCAGGCAGGAAGGGGAAGAGGCAGGTGAGCAGGGCTTGTTAGGTTGTGGCTACTTAAATGTTTTTTGTTATGAAGTCTAAAAAAAATTTATGCTCATTCATTTACTTTCTTAAAAAACATCATCTAACTTTAAGTATATTCATATCTATATAGATATAAAACTTATTGATATTATTCAAACTCTCCTCTGAACAGCATAAAGGTGATTCACTTTTCCCCTACGTCCTAAAATTGAGTTCTGTTTCAGAAAGTCTTTGGAATACTTCTGGGAAAAACAGGTTCTTCCTTTAGTGGTGACCTTGATAGTTTTGCAAGAGCCTGTCACTAAGGCATCTTAAATCCTATTGTAGAAATTCAAGGCCAATGATTCATCAAAGATCTCCTTTCTCTTCTAAAGTCATAATATATGCCAAGGAGAAGAAAACACCATGCTCGTGGTAGAAGTCTCCAATATATATGCATGCATGCATGTGCACACACACACACACACACACACAGTGAACAGGCCTTTAGTTATACACATTCTTGTGTAGTCCATTCCCAAGATGATTTTGGACTAGTCTTTATAACCAATAGAATGAGATAGAAATAATTCGTGATGCCTTCTGAGGCTAGGTCATAAGAAGGCTCACTGCTTCTGCCTTGCTCTCATAGAACACTTGCTCTGAGAAAAATCAGTCACGATGTAAAAAAAATCCAATTATACCGAGACCCTCATTCTATGAGGAATATCAAGATAATGATGCAGAGAGACTGCGTGGAAAAAAGATGGAACCTGGCCAGGCTGAAGCTATTCCAGATACCCCAGCCCATATGCCAGATGTATGAGAAAATAAACCCTCTTGGAGGTAGATCTTCTAGCCCTGGTGAGTCTCCAGATGGCTACCGCCCCAACCACAATCTGACTGCAAGTAAGGACCACAAGCTGAATCTAGAACTGTATCATACCATAAAAAACTGTTGTTTTAAGCTACTAAGTTTTTGGGGTGCCTTGTGCAGCAATATATAACAAAAGCAATGTTTCATGTACTTAAATTAGATGCCCAAGTTTCCATAAACCTTAAAGGCATTTCAAGGTTCATTTCAAGGTTCTCTTCTGAAAGTGTCATTTATTCCTATAGAAAATCATCAGGAATGAATATGTTCCAGAAAATTTGGTGCTCATTTCCCAGCTGAACCTGTCAAGTATTTGTTCAGCCTACTCTGTTCCTGTCTGTCCACATTACCAGGAAATCAATAAGTATCATAACTTTTCTTTTCATTCCAGGCCAGTAGCAGGTAGCTGACAAATGACTGGGATTCTTCCTTGTTGGCATGTGTTTTTCTTCCATATACCCAGCCCCTCTCTGTGGGTGACCAACACACCAATCAGGAGTCTCCAGGAGTGGTGGAAAGTTATCTTCTCTGTCACATCCTCTGTTTCCAGACTGACGGGGCTGGTGTGGATCCTTCCCACCTTAGCATAACCACATCCTAGCACTTCTCACCAAACCTCTTCATTTTGACCTCAAGTACACATCAGGTTAGGGAGTGTCCTCAATACTAGATTTCATTGCAAGCAAGAAGACAAATACTCCTTTTGCTCCCCTCAACCTCTATTCTTCTTGAGGGAGTCTGAGCCCTTTTCTAAGTTTTCATCCCTCATGGGATCCCCTTGGTTAGTGGTGGCAAGCTCTCTTCCCTTCAACGATCCCTGACCAATTCTGAGAGCTGCTACCTAGCTCTGTCTCACACAATCCCATGATGCTTCCTTCCCTTTCTGACCTGGACTCCCCTTCCCTACCACAGATCAGTTGGTATCCTTGATCACTTGCCCAAGTCCCAGTCTGACTTTCCTGAGTCAATATTATTGTCATCTTTCTACCTACCAGAGCCCTTTGGGGCCCGTTGAAGGCAGGGCCACCAAGGGAAAAATCTCCCCCTCTCCAAGACTATAACCCTTGCTCAACTCCTGCCACTTCCATGTCTTACCCAAGTCCTCTATTCTCCAGGTCTCTACTTTCAGCAGACACTCATCCTTACTCATCTGAATAGTTCTCCCTTGGCTTAGATCCTGACTAGGAGCCCTTTGGGAGATATGCAGATGGAGCAAGGTACAAGAGAGTGGCAGAGCCTCAGTCCCAGTCATTCCATCTCATCATCCACCCCCAACAGGCTTATCTGATCTGTGGGACTTTAAAAGGAAAGAACCAATATGAAAAATATTTTACATGAATATGTATAGCACTTATCACTCCTTAACTTGGATATCATATATTTATATATAAAATAAAGACATATATTTATCTTGCTTATCATCTATCCCCCTTAATTAGAATGCAACTTTCATGAAGGCGCATCTTTTTGTTTGTTTTATTCGCTTCTGTTTCCCTAACAGAGAAGAGTACCTAACACACGGTAGGTGCTCAATAAACATTTGGTGAATAAATTAATGAATAAATATTCACAGTCCAATCAGGAAGCCTCAGTTTCTTGTGGGTTAACAAATGCCCAATTTATATATTAAGGTCTTTTGTTTCAAGTAAGAGAAACCACCTCGGGCTTGGTTAGCAAAGTAGAATTTATTAGGATGTTACCATGGGGCTCCCGGAATTGTCAAATGTAGGAGAAACAGACTTGAAAAACAGTTGTCACGCAGATGGCCAGACTATGACAGTGATAGGAACAATCTGATCAGACTGGAAATTAGGAACTCCAAACTTTTTCGGTGTTTGTTCTTCTACTCAACAGTCAAACTTCAGAAAGGGACATCCCTTTGGCTATGTTGGATCAGGGGCTAGCCCCTCGGAAAAAGAGGGATGGCACCAAACTATAAACAATGGGGAAAGGGTCCCTCCTGCAAAGAATTTTTTAGGAAGGAGAAATTAATTCTGAATAGCCAAGTACAAAAAATATCCAATAAAAACTCAGACAATTAACTTAGGTTTCACAAATTCCATGCCCTCACCAACTCTTAAACTGCTTTCCCTCTAAGAAGAGAATTTTCATGTATGTTCTTCTACTACTGCATGTTTAGATAGGCAAAGCTAAATTGTACTAGAAACTAATTTAAAACACTGTAGAAAGATGCTTTAAATACTGTTTCAGTAAACTTTAGGAGTCAATACTATAAAGACTTGAAATATATCAACTCAAGAAAACACAGTTACAACCTTCTCTAGTGGCCAATCACAACTTTGGGCTGCTTTGATTTACAACATTGGCCACTGTAGCCTAGCCATTTAATCTTATAATCAAAATCAATCACCAATTTTTATGACAACATTTTGCAGGCTGAGCAAAAAATATTTCTCTTGAGGACAAATTAGGAAACCCAAAGTAACTCTTGCAAATAACCACTGTTGGCCATAACTTGCTGTGCTACACTGAACTCACAGCAATTCATTCTGTAAGTGCCACAGAAGCTAGAAGAAATTGTATAATTTTTTAAAATAAAGGAAATATCCAAAGAGATTAATATAACATAATGGCTATCTGGTGACTGAGTGAAGATTTTTAGTGGTTCAATGACAACATGTACTTTCATTTATGCCTCCAATGGTTGTCATCCAAAAGATATTAAGTGTGTCCAAATATCCTTCAAGACAGATCATAACTCACCATTAAAATGATGCAAGGCCCTATTAGGTTGACAGGCAGACTTCCCCATTGCTTCAAGGTGCTCATCCCTGAGCTTGCACTCAATAGTGAAAAGTAATGGCCAAACAGAAGACACTATGCAGAATGGCTAATTGCCAGATATACCACCAATAAATCAGCTGGACCCATTAATATGTAATGGAGCTCAATTTACTGTTAATTCAGATACTCCCAGAAAACCCAGGGAGCTCTTTAAAAGTAACTGCAGTAATAATTTCCCTTTATGTAAGTCAAATAAAATTAGCATTTCATCCTAGAATTGTATTCTGTGGAAATAATCATAATAAATTATTTAAATATTTCTCAGTACAGGTTCCAGGATTCCAGAGTCCTAGTTTCACTATTCCAGCTTGGCTATCAACATACTATACAGCTTGTCTCTGGTTTCCCATGTTTCAGGAAAGCCCAAAATATTCCACCTATAATATGTAAGTCACAATTTGATCTCTACTGCCTATAATAACAGAATCTTGTGTTTCCTCTGACAATCTCTACATGCTTATTTGATTTTCCAGATCTTACCAGAAATGGCGCATATTGAAACGAAAAGGATATAGAAAAGTGTTCAGTGAGGAATCCAAAAGTTTGCTATTAAGCGTTGTGAAGTGGAAGATAGCATTCTCCTTTAATTTTGCAGCTTTTCCTCTGAGAGAGTACTCCACCTACCAGGTGGAAGAAATAATGAGATACGGTCTCTCCCAGGGGACTAAAATGTCCAAAACCAATCTGAACACTTGCAATGACACTAGTCAAAAATACAGTGAAAATAATGCTTGTGTCTCCTTCGCGTCTTTTCCTTCCCACACCTTACTGGGACTTTTTATCTCAAGCAAAGGACTTCAGTGTCAACACTTAAAAATATCCCAACTTCCCTCCCACGGTTGTTGTGGGGAACAAATGCAATGATGTATACAACAGCACTCTGTAGAACAGTAAAATCTCATACACATGCTGGACAGGTGTAGGGTATTATTATTAATACAATTTAGAAATAACAATAACATGCACTTAAACTCTCCATATAAATAGCCCCCTGTGGTCTATTAATCCAAGTCCTGTTTGTAGCCTGCTACTTATATGTGTGGATATCCTCTGAGGGCTATTCCAGACCAAATGCATACATTTTAAAAAGCATAATCCCTTCCAAATTACAAATTATTTTTCAGAAGAACACTACAGCTATTAGAATGGATAAACATTTCTAAACAACAATATATGCTTTTAAAAAATGTATAAAGAAATGTTATACAGTGATTGTTCTGTGGGTCAGTGGGCCAAGTTGATACATACAACAGGTTGAGCTATCAGATTCTTTTTCTCTCCAGCTAGTCCAATGGGCATCTGCCAAGTTCTTATTTCCCCAGATCTGAATCTTATAAGCTGGTTACGCCCTACTCTACCAATATGAACCACATGGATAACTCAATCAATAAACTCAGTGCCTGGGAAGAAACTGGGATCCAGGCAACAATTCCTAGCACATAAACCAAAAGAATTCCTGTTGGCCTTAATGTTGCTTTCAGTGTAGTGATTTTTAAAAATAAATGTATATAAATTTTCTAATTTTTTCTTTAGTAGTAGAAATCCATGTTTTTAAAAAAGGATCAGGACCTTTTGTTCAAATTAATAACTAGCTTACGATATGCATAAATTTGCTTAATTGAGTTCAAAAGTCTCAAAGTTCCCACTGTAAGCTCTTACAGGTGGAGGTTTTCAACAAGGGATAAATTTTGATTCTCCACAAAGCCTGGTGAAGAATGCAAGTCCCCAGCCTTGAGAAAGAACCACCATAAGGGACTGTCTCTCAAAGAACATGGGTCATCACATGTGCTCAGCACACTCAGTATCTTCCAAAACACCAGCTCTGCTCATGACCACACAAAACCCTAGGAAGGCGCAACAGATAGATAGTGACAGCAACACACTATTGCCAGGTCCCCCCAGTGAATCTGTTCTGTCAACCTAAAATGATCAAAATTGTCAGAATCTAGTTTTAAAAGAGTTTACTCAAATGCAAAGTTTGAGGATGAGCCTCCTGGGAGGCACAGATCCCAAAGAATGGAAGTCAGTGTCGTGAAGTGTAGAAGTTTGCAATTGCTTACATAAAGTATAGGGAAGCTTAACAGAATTTCGACACCCTTCTATGTTAGGCTTAATGCATACTTTCAATGATCTGATTAGTCAAAGTGGTCTTTTTTTCTTTCAGGAGAGGTATATTAAACATTCCATATGAAGATGGGTACAATCATGGGTTCTTGGGCACCATATGGTCTGAGTTAGGTACAGGACAATAAAAGAGGCAATTAACCTAGAACAAAGATCAGTGATTAGAAGGGGTAGAAGGCCTGGTCTCTGGTCTCTCCTAGTCATTTTAGAACTAGAACAATAAAGAAGAGAGCTAATCTATAATCTAAGAAGCAGAATTGCAAGTATACTATGTGGTTCAGTCTCCAGGGCGTAACTTCCCTTGGCATAATAAATTTAGAGGGCCCTGAAATTTTATTTTCATTTACAGTTCCATGCCTGTCGCATTATACATCATGCACTCACAACACTGAGCCAGGGAAGCTCACCAGTGACACAAAAATAAAGAGCTGCAATTTGCATGGTTTTTTCCATCAGAAGCAGGATTTCCCCAAGGGGTGACAAATGTACCATAATTTTAGATAATACATGGAAAATCTTTAAAACAAAATTCGTACTTATATATTTATTTCCATGGACATTTAAAAAACATAGCCAGCATATCAAACCCATATGATTATTATTAGTTAAAATGTAACCAACTTTTTTAACATCTGTCAATTTTGAATTTTAAACAATTAAGAATATAAAGGTGTGTAGATATAATAAAGAAGGTAATGGTTGCAAATTTCTGAATATTTAGAAATGCCAAAGCCATTTTTGTTACTAAAAATGTATATATTTCTAACATTTATAGCTCAGGATTCAGAGAGTTTAGGTTGAGAAATTCACTGGCATATAAACAGTACTGGGGATTTTTTTCTCTTTGGGTTCTGTTGATGGCCTATTCAGTGATAGGGTGAATGTAACTAGTAACCCTGATGCTCCTGTGTGCTAAGTTGTGTCTATAGGCATTTACAGATTTGGAGAAACATTCAAGCCTAAAATTGAGGCCACACAGTGAGCAGTATGATAGCTTAAAACAATTTTTTTAAATAAAAAACCATGGGCGCCTGAGACCCTGATGGGCTGTGACCATGAAATCTTGGGCAGGTGCTCTGAGCCTCCTCTAGGGCTCATCTGCAAAACAGGGGCCATAATAACACCTACTTCATCAGGTCATTGAGACATGTAAAGGAATGATTTATAAGAAGGAACTTAACGAAAAAACTGTAAAGCAACTGTGCGGTTATCATTATATTACAGCATTTATTATGGGGAAAGCCCACAGTTCTCCAAAAGGATAAAAACAACTCCCCATACTGCTCTGCCCCTAATTGTAGGCTGCAATCAAGCTCAAAACTGGGAGTTCAGGAGCAGGGCAAAAGACTGCAGGGTCAGACCCATATGTCCATGGCACCAGAACTAGCACCTCCAGCCAACAGGCTGGGATCTGCCCATAGATCTCCAATATTTACCTGGAGGTCAGCACTCAGCTTCCCAACTGCAACTAAATCTGTGGGGAAATAAAGCATAGAGCTCTTCCCCAGGAAGAGTGCATAGGGCTGCTGTACAGGATTTGTTACAGCCGGGATTGGTGAGGAAAAGGCCCATTGGAGGGAATATCTGAGACAGCAGGAGTAGCAAAGCAGACACTGAAAAGTGTGGGAGCTGGAGAAGGGGGCTGTGTCAAGGGTCTCAAACCAAATGCCCTCTGGGCTAAGCAGATAATGAAGAAGCTAGACAAATGTGGGCCAGTGATGGTGAACTGGTGAGAAAATGCCTTGGTTAAGAGAGGCAACCATTGCCCAGTAGTAGCTGACTGTCATCAAGTGGAAACTGACTTTTTAAAAGTTGGGAATCTAGGTTTTTATGTGAGTTGAAATCTCCCACTTATTAACTAGGAAATAATCCCTCCTCAAAATGTTAAGTTCTCTACAAGCCAAATGAAACAAGTCTATGGCCCACATGCCATTCTACCACTGCCACCCTGCAAGCTCTGTTGTACCTACCCAGGAGGTGGGTGGAGGAAAAGCAGATGACAATAAGAAGGCAATAAAATGTTTAGCCATTTCCTAATGTCACTTTTAAAAAAAACAAGAGGGATAACTAATATTCAGCTGAGGAACTTTACTGTTTGGAAATCATAGGTGGAGGCTTAGATGAGGGACATATTGTAATCACCTACTATCCGGAAAAAGCTTGTGAATAAGAAAGCAAGAATTGCTTTACTGGGTAAAGTAGGTATGATTATAAGGGTCTCAATAAAATAGTCAATTACAATAATATATGGTCTCTTTGGACGCTGGCCTGAGACCTAAGACATACCACCGTGGGAATGTGGTACCAAAATCCAGCCAGTGCAGTTTGTTAGCACCGATGGGAGGAAGCTGGATGGACACTTTCACTCAGTCCTCCAAACAGAGACAAGACCAAGAAATAGGGCAGGGACTGTGGAAATGATTCATCAAAATCAGTACTTCTTTCTCAATCACTAAAACTTTCCAATCTGGCTGTACTAATTCCTTTTTCCAAAGACCATCTGGAGCAAAATCTGCCTCATCCCTTCAGTGTCAAGGCCCTCCTTATTCTTGACAGGGGACTTTTTAGCATCTGAACTCCCAAAGACCAAGCAGGAGTCCCTGTATAAGCCCAACTGAGACAACGGGATAATGCCTGCTTCTACCACCCATGTCAGCTGCCTGGACACCTGAGTGACAGTGCCAATAGCCCAAGGGACTGGAGGGAGGAAAGTGCAAGGGGGACACCTTAGTAGAGCTGAGGGTGGGAACTGAGACACAGTTCCACACATGGGGTGTGTTGGCATAGCAATCCCATCTAGCAGAAACATGTAAACCAAAGGATAGCATAATACTGTATAAAAGTTGCCTTCAGGCTGGGCGTGGTGGCTCACGCCTGTAATCCCAGCACTTTGGAAGGCCGAGGTGGGCGGATCACGAGGTCAGGAGATCAAGACCATCCTGACTAACAAGGTGAAACCCCGTCTCTACTAAAAAAAAAAAAAATACAAAAATTAGCCGGCCTGGTGGCACACGCCTGTAGTCCCAGCTACTCGGGAGGCTGAGGCAGAAGAATGGCATGAACCTGGGAGGCGGAGCTTGCAGTGAGCCAAGATTGCACCACTGCACTCCAGCCTGGGCAAGAGAGCAAGACTCCGTCTCAAAAAAAAAAAATTGCCTTCAAATACCAGTCCTGTTGCTGTCAAAATGGAGTAACCTTGCAAATACAGCTTTGACTCCTCCCAACCCCATACTGATCTGTTTGTTTGCCTCCATTCCTCTGACCCCTAAAAAGCAGTGATTAGAATTCAGGTCGGCAAAGCTGAGGATTCAGGAGGCAAGCTAAGGCAAGGCTGAAGCTGTTTTGCTATGACCTTCCTTTACAGAAGTGGCCATAAGAATAACAGCCTGAGGATGGGGAGGTGACACAATGGCAAAGAAGCCAGGAGACAAAGAAGACGGAAGCTTGGGGGCCACACTGATCTTGTCCCTCCATTCCTCTTGAGTAGTAGCTACACAAATAACTAGCCAGAGTTACTTCCCCTAAACAGAACACAGAGTTACTTCCCCTAAACAGAACTGGTATAACACAGTTGCATTCAGCAAACATTTCCCGAGCACCACTAGGTGCCAGATATCAGGGTTCTGATGTGAGTGAAATACATTTTAAGTGTCAGGTGTTAGGGTACTGAGTGGCAGTACTACTGCAGTACCAAAGAGGAAGAGTGTTCAAGAGAGGTTTCGGAAAAGAGGCAAAATTTGACCTGGCTAGTAATCATGATAAGGAGCATAACAGCAAAATGTACGTGGTGTTTACACAGATTTACTAGCCGTGTTAAGTACTTATGCGGACTGTATAATTTAATATAATTATAAAATTAACTAGACAAGCAGGAAGATAACCAGAGAAAGCATTGCAGAAGGAACAGCATGAGCAAAGGTCAGGAAGAGAGAAAGCGTCATGTTCACAAAACAGTAAGACAGAAGAAATAATGAGAGATAAGAGAAGAGCTTGGGCTGGGATAGCAGATTCTTCCAGGAAGCCTTCCCTCATTGCCATTCTCCATTCTCATCACTGCTCTGTATATTGTCCCCTCCATACTTAAAGTGCTCACTTTGTAGGACGTTCCTATCAGGATCACATTTGGCTGGAAGTGTCCGACACCCAAAATAACAGACAGATCACAGTTCATCAGCTCTCTCATGTAAAAGTCCAGGGCAATACGCAGCCCTGTGAACACAGGGTCCCAGCTCCTGCCAGACTCCACTCCCCACTCCTAAGCAAGGCCCTCATCTGCATGGTCCAACATGGTCACAGGAACTCCAGCAGTTACATCCACATATCCCATGATCAAGAAGAAGACGAAAAAGGAGGGCCAAAGGAGATGCAGCTGACACTTAAAGGAAGTTCTCAGAAGCTGCCCCAGAACACTTACTCCTCCACAGCATCATCCAAGCTTCGGCACTGGCACACCAAGCTGCAAGGGAGGCTGAGAGATGTGGCTTTATTCTGGGCTGCCATGTGACCAGCTGAAAACTGGGGATTCTGTTACTGAGGAAAATGAGGAGAACAGATGTTGAGGAACAACTACCAGCCTCTGCCCATAATAATTTAATTAATCATTTCTCTATAGAGCATTTGCTTTGACTCAACTAGATTATAACTTCCTAAAGAGCTATCTTCTTCTCTTTAATGTGTTTCATGTCATCTAGTAAACACTAAGCATCCAATAGATGATATAGGAAAAGAATGAATGAATAACAAATGAAACAAGCAAATTCTTAAAAACTTGGTAACGTATATGTGGACTATTTTCATGGCTAAGCTACACAAAAATAGTGTGACTCTACAGAATAATCCCTGCTTCTACCACCCATGTCAGCTGCCTGTACACCTGAGTGACAGAGCCACTGGCCCAAGGGACTGGAGGGAGGAAAGTGCAAGGAGGACACCTGAGCAGAGCTGAGAGGGGGAACTGAGACACAGTTCCACACATGGGGCGTGTTGGCATAGCAATCCCATCTAGCAGAAACATGGAAACCAAAGGACAATGGAACTGACTTATTTTTCCAATAGGTACCATGGGAAGATAAGAACTTTAAAAAAGTCATCACCATAATACTGTTAGAAACAGGTTTGTTTGCTCATTTTAACAAACTAGACCTTTACATACTCAAAAGGGAATTTTCACCTTCATTGCGACAGTCCACTGAACATCCATTTTTATGATAACTAGTGGTGTTGAATTCTCCATTTCCTGAGGATGTTTAGAATTTGGAAACAGGAAGAAGTGATCCAGAACCAAGTCTGATGAACTATAAGGTAGATGATCAAGCTGTATTATTCCAATTCAAGTTTTTTTCAAGTATAACAATAAAGTAACTGGTTGAGATTCTATATATGCTTATAAAATTCCTGTTGAAAGCAATTTCAGGAATGCAATTCCTAAAATCTTTCCAAGAATGGTGAATTAGCTAAATGCCATAATTAACAGTTACTTATCATGTTATTTCAGAATAATGGTAAATACATAAGTAAGCATATTAACATGATATATGTTTTTATACGTGTATGTATCTATGTGCACATATATATGCATATACACACACATCCTGTGATTTAATGAACAAGATTATGAATTATGGGTAATGCACATTAGCATTATGTATACATATACATACACACTATATACATATGTTAAATACACACAGAGTTTTCTGTGTGTGTGTGTGTGTGTGTGTGTGTGTGTGTGTGTGTGTGTGTATCCCCCTATTATTTAGTGGACAGGGCAACCCAAAATAGATAAGCAAAATTTTTACCAATCTAGGCCTTCCTTAACATAAAATATTTACTGGGCTCAACATTATTTCAGATCATTACTGAAAAACAAAACAATACAAACAAATAAAAAAAGACTCTGATATGCAGATAAAAATACAACAATAATATAATCAGCTTAAATCATGTAATAATGTTTTTTCAGAGAAACTGAAGGCATTTTACAGACATCAATATTCCTAAGAGAAAACACAGGCCACATCTCTCCCACTAGCGATTCTTGGCTGTTTATGCAACGCTGAGCCATTATCTGATATGTGGAGAACTTTATATTAACCACAAGGAAAAAGTGAATCAATAATGTTGCTTAGAATGGGCACAGCACTTCTCATCTTCCTAGCACTTTACCAACATTGATGAATTAAGCCTCTCGTGGTCCCAGTGAGACAAAAAGAATCATATTCCTTGACCCAGGGAAAGAGACAGAGATCAGGAGTTCAACTCAATTGCCCTCAGCTCAGTGGGAAGTTAGGGTCAGGACCGGTACCACAGGGAGAACCTGGTGTCTGGAGTCATAAGTCCTGCACCCAGAACACTTGAGCCTTCCAATCCCATCCCTCACTCTGTCTTCAGAGAACACTGGTCTTGAAGCTTAGGCGCCCCATTGTCTGAGTTGAGGGGAGAATGTGTTTTCTAGTCAAATATCTATCAACCAAAACACATTGATTTTCTTTAATTATCTCCACAAAGCAGACTTGATTCTGAAGAGCTTATGTGATTTGAAAAATGTATCACCTATTTGTCAGACATGTATAATTTATGAAGGCCCTTTCATTTAAGGTCTGTAGTCCAAAGCGGACAATATGTGAGTTATTAACATGTTATTAGGTATACCTTATTAAGATGTGCAGGCTTTCAACCTCTCATACAAAAAGCAAGAGAGACACTACATAAATTTTCACTTGCATTATTAAGCTCAGAAGATTCTGATTCTTTTCTTTCTTTTTTCCCTTTTTTTTTTTTTTTTTTTTGAGACAGAGCCTCACTCCTAAACCCAGGCTAAAGTGTGGTGGTGCGATCTTGGCTCACTGCAACCTACACCTCCTGGGTTGAAGTGATACTCATGCCTCAGCCTCCTGAGTAGCTGGGACTACAGGCATGCACCACTATACCCAGCTAATTTTTGTATTTTTGGTAGAGACGGGGTTTCACCATGTTGGCCAGGCTGGTCTCGAACTCCTGACCTCAGTTGATTCTCCCGCCTCAGCCTCCCAAAATGTTGGGATTACAGGCATGAGCTACCATGCCCGGCCAGAAGATTCTGATTCTAATGCCACCCTATGAATCCATTCCAAGAAGCTGCCTGGTACAATGAAACTATCAAAAAATTATACTTAATTTTAAACTCCTTGGTTTAATACAAGCCTGCTTCAGACAGGCTTCTACTTTATCAGAATGTGTTGCTGTGATTTCCTTCCCATGCAGTGCTTGCCAATACTGACATTAAACTCAGTGAAAATTCTTGGGAATTTCTGTTATCAATGCATGCTCCTGACCTGGAGAACAGACCATCTATTTTACAGATAACTTACTTAAAAATAACTAATACTACTTAATTCATGAGGCAATAGGCTCTTTACATTAGGATCCACTGAAATGAAGTAATATTAAATTTAGATATGTCCAAAGACACATAGTAGAAATTTCTATGAATTGGATAAGGTAGTTAACTTTATACCTATCATTGTCATGTATAGCAAAAATAGAGCAAGGATAAATAAACATATCACCATTCATAAAAGGGATGGTGGGTGTTAAAGTGTCATCTGGTTCTATTTAATCTGTATAATTCTAATTTCAGGTTAGTTAGTGAGAGTTAACAAATACATATTGATCATATGTCCTAGGAACCATGCCTGACACTGGGAGCCAGCAGAGAGTTGGACCAACACAGACGTCCTGGAAGAGTCACCTAGAGCTTAGAGCTGAAGAGGGACTAGGGGTGACAGCAAGCCTGGCAGAGGCCACCAACCTGTGAAGACCCTAACTCCCCTCCTTCCTGCCTCCACGGAAAGAACTATGAATGTGGTAGAAAAAGTCCAACAGTCAGAGGAGGAGGCTGGGGCTGGATGCTTCAGGGCTGCAGGCCTCAGAGCAGCCTGGGGTTTTTATCCTGACAACAACAGGAAGCCCACAGAGGGTTTTAAGAATGGAGGCGGCTGGAGCAGGGAAAGGGACTCAGAAATTCTGAAAAAAAGTCATTATAAATGAAAGGCCCTTAGAGTCCAGATCTTTTTTGAAACCTACTCAAATCTGAATTTGAGGTGATGTTTTTTAATTAAAAAGAAAGAAGGGGTCACCTCAAAACCACATGAAGAAAACCAGTCTGACAGGTTGTTTTTCACATGCAATACTACTTTATCTCTCTGAGGTTATGAGAAAAAGTGGGGTAATGGGGAAGAGAAATTGACTGTTTCATTATTAAAGATTTCCCATATGCCAAAAATCATGAAGCAACAATAACAAATACCCTCATGCCCACCACCAAGATTTAGCCGAGATTAACATTTACCATATTTCTTTTTCCTTTCTCTTCTTTTTTTGAGAAATAAAACATTACAGACATCAATTGATTTCCTGTGCATTTTTCCCCTCCTTCCCTAGAGGTAACCATTATACCAAAATTCTTGTGTATCCTTCTTGCATATTTTATTTTTATTTTTATTATAAATGGGTGTATCTATATGTTAACACGTAGTCTTTATGTTTTTATGTGGTATGTCATTGGTTTCATATTGTATGTATAATTCTGCAACTTGCTTTTTTCACTCAACCTGTTTTTGAGATATATTCATATTAATATATGTAGTTCTATTTCATTTCATTTAAATGCTGTATCAATATTGTATGGTTATAGCACAATATATTTATCAAGTCTCCTATTGGTGAATATTAAGGTATCCCCCACCTTTTCTCTGATTACAAACAATACTGCAATAAATACCCTTTTGTTCACCTATCTCCTGATGCACAAGTGTGAGAGCTTCCCCAAGGGATAATATTTATGTAAAATGTTTTAACACATTGGAGGAAAGTAGTCTATTAAATTAAATTAATATTCTAATTGCTAATCATGATAACAATGACAATGATATTTTCACGTCACAGAGAATAGCAGCACTTTCAGGACACATATTTGAGAATACAGACATATGTCACTTAATGACAGGAATACGTTCTAAGAAACACATCGTTAGGCGATTGTGTCATTGTGCAAACATCATAGAGTATACTTACACAAACTCAAACGGTATTCCATGTAGCCTACTCCACATCTAGGCTACACGTAATATCCTATTGCTCCTGAGCTGAAAACCTGTACAGCATGTTACTGTACCAAATACTGTAGACAATTGTAACACAGTGGTAAGTTTGTGTATCTAACCATATCTAAACATTAAAAAGGTCTATTAAAAATACAGAATAAAAGATAAAATATGGTACACCTGTTTAGGGCTGTTACTACAACTGGAGCTTGCAGGACTGGAAGTTGCTCTGGGTGGGTCAGTGAGTGAGTGGTGAGTGAATATAAAAACCCAGGACATAACTGTACACTATTGTAGACTTTATAAATACCATACACTTAGGCTACACTATGTATTTATTTATTTATTTTTATATTCATTTTTAAATTTTTTTTCTGTAATGATAAATTAACCTTAGCTTTACTGTAACTTTTTACTTTATAAACTTTTAAATGTTTTAAATTTTGTGACTTTCATAACACAGCTTAAAACACAAACAACACTCTTCAGCTGTGCAAAACCATTTTCTTCCTTTATGTCATCATTCTATAAGTGTCTCTTTTTTTTTTTTTTTTTTTTTTTTTTTTTGAGTCAGAGTCTTGCTCTGTGGCCCAGGCTGGTATACAGTGGCATGATCTCGGCTCACTGCAACCTCTGCCTCCCAGGCTCAAGCAATCCTCACACCTCAGTCTCCCGAGTAGCTGGGACTACAGAGGCACACCAACATGCCTGGATAATTTTTTTATTTTTTGTAGAGACAGGGTTTCGCCATGTTGCCCAGGCTGGTCTTGAACTCCTGGACTCAAGAGATCCACCCATCTCAGCCTCCCAAAGTGCTGGGATTACAGTCATGGGCCACCATGCCTGGCCCATTTTTTTGTTTGTTTTTTAATTTTTAAAACATTTTTGTTAAAAGCTACAGCAAAAACACACACATTAGCCTAGGCCTACACAGGATCAGGAACATCAAGACATCACTAGGAGACAGTGATTTTTCAGCTCCATTGTAATCTTATGGCACCACTGTCACAGATGCCGTCTGTCATTAATCAAAACATCATTATGCAGTACATGATTGTATATGAAATCATTTAAGTTGCGATGAAGAAAAATGGGCATGTAGAAGTCTACCAGAAGTTGGTCCAGTTTTTTATTTAGTGGCTGAAGTTCTGCAGGGTCTGATGTAAGCTGAAAATCTGGTTGAAAGAGCTGAGTGTTTCTAATTTAAGATACATGTCAAGTAGACCTAAATAGCAAGGGAAAATGAGAATAGACGTACTGAGAAAAGAAAATCTTGACAGGTTCAGGTTAGCATCTCACTGAACAAGTTTCCCAAACCCCTGAGGCTCATCCAGCATCAAGAGTTATACAGAATTAGCTGCAGATGGATGAGATTTTCAAAGTCTAATTTAAAAAAAAAATCTTTTCAAAAACTAACAATTTAGGGCCAGGCTGAAGTCAAGGTTTTCATTCACATCTTACCGCTGCTTTTTAAAATTATCACTGATTGACAATACTCAAACAGCTACCTTGTCAGAACTTGCTCTTTGGCTAAGAGAACTGAGAATGAAAAACCCTTCTAAACTGAACAGCAGCCCCACTTGAGCAAGTGGCAAGGCTTCAGTGGGAAGAAATTAAGTACAGGATCCATCCCATCCAATGTCAACTAAGGGTAAAAGTCTTAGATCTCACTCCCTGCCTACAAACCTTCTAACAGCCCTAAGAGGCTCTGCAAATTGAGCCCTCAACATTGTCACTACTGTCACTCAGACTCACCAGCACAGCAAGCACTTAGAATCAGAGGAACAAAGACATCTTCGATTTGTAAGCAACTTGGAGATCATCTCATTTAAGCTACTTGTTTTGCAGAAATGGGAGCCTAGCTATAATAAATGTCTTGACCCAGCTCACACAGCGAACTATTTTGGCATACGAAGACTCCAAATTCTCCATTTCATGCTCTTTGTCCTGCATTATGTGGTTTATGCATAAAGCCAATACATCATAATTAAAGATATTCATTCTTTATTTCTTTAATTTTTATGCATTAGAAGTTGCCAGGCCGGGCGTGATGGCTCATGCTTGTAATCCCAGCACTTTGGGAGGCCGAGGTGGATGGATCACCTGAGGTCAGGAGTTCAAGACCAGCCTGACCAACATAGAGAAACCCCATCTCTACTAAAAATACAAACTTAGCCGGGTGTGGTGGCGCATGCCTGTAACCCCAGCTACCCGGGAGGCTGAGGCAGGAGAATGGCTTGAACCCAGGAGGCGGAGGTTGCGGTGAGCCAAGATCACGCCATTGCACTCCAGCCTGGGCAACAAGAGTGAAATCCATCTCAAAAAAAAAAAAAGTTGCCAAAATTTTTCAGCAGCTGTACCTTGGGTCTTCATTAGAAAGGTCCTGTGGAAGATTATATTAACATTCTCAATCATGTGCTCTGCCTCTGTGTAAGAAGATTACACTGCCCCATTGATGTCAGGTTTGATGATGTGACTTGCTTTGGCCAATGATGTGAGTGGAATTGAAGCATGTCACTTATAAGCAAAAGCTTTTAAAGTCATTTATGTTTCCTTTATCTCTCTTTTCTCCCTCTGCTATAAAATTAGTATGTCCCAAATAGGGACTGTTCCTTCAGCCTGGATCCCAGGATAAAGATGGAAAAGAGCTGAGACTGACTCACAGGTGACATATTGTAAATGAGAAAGAAACCTTTGCTGTTGTGAGCCATTAAGATTTTAGGGTTCTTTGTTATTACAGCAATACCTAGTAAAAGCTGACTTCTATAATTCCCAATGAACTGCAATAACAACAAAAATACTTGATCAGTCATCACAAAACAACTCCTATAAAATTGTGAGTAAAGAGACCAATCCAACACAGTGTTTTTTAAGACAAAGACAAGCCATAATTCACTCATTTTTTTATTTGATGTCTTAACTTCCACATCATACAGAACTTTCCTTCTAACCATTGTGTGAAAAGTTGGCTGCAAGATCACTAATAGATGCTTTTCCCTTATCCTCCTCAAGAACACACATCTCATTTCAAAGGAATCAAGATCTGTGAACATGAAATTGAGATGTTCTGTCTCAACATCTGCTCATAGATATACCTTGCTTCTTGAAAGGAAGCTAGAGAGTTGGAGCAATAGAGAAGCCGAACACACCAAAAGCCAAGACCTTGAGGGCTGAAGGCTCAAGCTATTTCTCTCTATGCCCATCCATGATGGTAGTCACCAACAATCACTGCCTCAGAGGCCAGTGGTCATTGTCTGCATAAATCCAGCAATAAAGTCCATCCTGCTGGGTGGGAGAGATAGCAGTACTCTCAGCAGAGCAAGCCACTTGTCTCCCTCCCTTCCTAGATGGTAAACAGGACAATCTCTCATTCAGCTAAGTGCCTACATGTGCAAGGTACCATTAGGCCCAAGGACATACAGAATAAGACAGATAGGGTCCCTGACCTCGATTTATATTTTAGTGGGTGAGACAGATAAAAATCAAGCAAAATAATAGATAAACATAGATTTTGTGAAAAATGTAAAGTGAAGAAGTTTCATTAGTAAGAAATTATAGCACAAATTGTTTTTTAGATAGTAAAAAGCTCTCCCAGAACATGACATTTTAGCTAAGATCTGAAGGATAAGAAGAATTCTGCCATGCAGAGAAAGAGCTGGAAAAAGTATGTTCCAAGCAGTGGGGACAGAAATTGCATAGACTCTGGGCATGAAAGAGCATTACATATTTAGGGAACAGATAGGCTTTTAGGAAAATGAACTTGTGATTGGGGTCGTAAGACCAAACTCAGCATCAGAATAACCAAGACCAAATCAGAGCCAGGGAGTAAACTATAGGGAAACAGACTGTCTAAAATGCTGGAAAGCTAGCTGTCACTGTGCAGTCCTACTGGGTTGCACAGGTACACTCGTGGGCATCAGGATGCAAGGACTGGGTAGGTGGCACACAGGGCAGGCTGTGGAGGGGCTTGGGCACCCAGCAGGCTTGCTAGCAGCTTCCTTCTATGTAAAGTTTGCCACCACTGCCTGGAGGGCTCTACAGCAGCCAGGGAGGGAAGAGGGGACCAGGACCATGGTTGGAAGGAGGCGGTGGTGTCAGGCATGCAGAGAGCCCTGGGTGGAGAGGTGGGGGCAGCTGGGAGTCAGAGAAGTAGAGGAGCAGTAGCCATGCCACTTCCACTTGCATGCCTGTCAGCCTAAGTAAAGTGCCCACCTCCTCCCACAGACTCAAGAGGCATGCCTTCCTCCCACTGGTGCCCAAGCTGGATGTGGGGGTCACATTCCCATGGGGAGCCTGGAGATGCCAAGGTTGTCACCCCCATCAAGAAGGCCCAGGCCTGTGCCCTCATGCTCCGTGGGGTCATTGTAGACAATGCCACCTCAGAGTCCTTGGGCATGGAGCAGCACATGGTACAGAGAGCGGCAGAGTTTGACTCTTTTCATCAACAATAATTGGTGTCCTACATGTAGGGCCTCAGAGACGTCTCAACCCCCAAAGGAGTTGCCCAAACCTAGAACTAAGTGTTAGCATGCCTTTCCCACTTGGAAAGACAAAATAGTGTGTAGGGATTCACATTGTGAACTTTATTCAAAGAAGCAATGAAGGAACTTCACAGGAAAACTGAAAAAAAAAACACAGACCCTTTGAAACACAAGGCAGGCTTCAGGCAAAGCTATAAGTCCCCAGAGTGTGAAAAAGGGGAAAACTGCCTACAGGATACACACCCCCACTGAGGAACCTGGCAATGCAATCCACAGGGGAAGAAGGCCTTAAGCCTACCCAGTACTGATTTAGGGAGCAGTAGATAATATAAAAGTAGGAACAGCAGTGGGAAGAGCCTTGTGGGCATCTCCAGTCTCCAGCATGGACTGCGGGAAGCCATTTCTGATTCTAAACACAGAGGACCTCACAGAAGTCTGCTAGCTAACTCAGGCGGCAGTCACAGGTTGAGAGAAGCTCCCAATTAAAATTCACAATATAATCTCAAGTGGGGACAAACTCCCTTGGCCAGAACCAGGGGGCAAGTGGGAAGTGTGCTACAGCCATGAGTGCAGGAGCTGGGTGCCCCAGCTTTGCAGACAGACTGGGAGGGGCATGGGCATGGCCTGAAACTTTCAGTTGCTATCTCCCCTGGAAGGCTTATGGCCTAGGGCACTTTCGAGTTTTGAGTGTAGACTACTTGGAACTTAGCTAGCTGCTACTAGTGGAACACTACAAGTGAGAGACCTGCCTTCCCAAGTGCGTGGAGTTGGATGAGCTTACTGCTGCTGCTACTCCCCACTCCCTGCACAAGCTCTTCTGTGCAGCAGAGGCAACTATGCTCCTTCCTGTAACATTACCCCTAGTGACCAGAGAACCACCCTCCTAACCCCGCCATGGGCTGCTGCTTGACCTGCACATGGGGAACCAGAGGACAGACCTGCCTGACCCAGTCCCCACCTGGCTTTGCCCTTCCACCCATCCTAGTAGCTTAATACAAAGGACAAAAACATTTGGGAGCATTATAGCCCCATCCATCACCTGAGACACTAGAATACCTCCCCTGGGTAACATAAGGCAAACACAAATCCTACTGCTGCTACCACAGCTGGTGCTCTTTTTCAAGTGCCACCTCCTGGCTGGAGGCTAACAGACACAGTTCATGAGAGTATCTGCAGGTAGAATAACCCTGCACCCAGGAAGGAGAAAACTTGTGTGTGACCTCAGCTATGACCACTGCCTGCAACACCCTGGATAATCAGGAGGTCCTGATACTGCTCAGATGATCCGTTCATTACTGCTACAACTGGCGCTTGAGAAAACCAATGCACTGAGGCTATTTATAACCAAGGACTCTCACAGAGTCTATGTCACTCCCCTGCCACCCCCATCAGACCTGGTGCTGGTACCCACTACTGGGAGACTTGAGGGCAGGTCACACCACAAGATCCCTTGCATTCCCCAGCACCAGCCTGGAGTGAGGCAGCCCCACTGGGCGGCTAGACCCAGAGGAGCAGCAGCATTCACAGTAATGTGACTCTCAGGGACTCCTACTCCTAGGGGAAGAGGGAGTGTGCCACAACAAGGGAACACCCCATGGGACAAAAAAATCTGGACAGCAGGCCTTGAGTCTCAGATCTGTCTGCTACTGGGAAGTTTCTTTCATCAGAGGCACAGTTGCAGTGCTGGGCTCAGTGGAGAAAGTCTACAGCTCTACCCTAACAGTCAGGCAACCCTGGGGCTCATGAAGGGTCTTGGAGAAGGGGACTTCTTTCCCCCTCATCCACCACTGCAGACATAGCTAGGGCTTCTCCCATGGGAGTTTGGTGTGGGTGTGGCTATAGACAGCCTTCCTGGAACACTTCAGGGTGTTCCACAGGTGGAGCTTGCATGACAGTTAGAGTCACAACTTCTCTCTACTTGGAACATCAACATTACCACAAATGAAAAGAGGTGTCTGTTTGCTCTGAATAGCAAAAACACTGGGACAGGAGTGTGTCTGAAAGGTAGATTGCTTTCCTACTGGACTGGCAGGGGATCTGAGGTGTTTCCCACCCTTCCCCATGATAAGACCTCAGTGTGTTTCACTAAGAGCTCCCCCAGTCACCTGTGTCAAGGCTAGGACCTCTGCCCACCATTGAGTATTGCATTCACTCACCTACTTTAGCCACAACAGGTTTCTACCCAGGAACACCTCCCCTACTGGTCTGAAGCCTGAACTATTCAACCCAGTAAATAAAAACAGTAAGTAAAATACTGGGAAAAAAACATAAATACGTGCCCACCACAGAGGGATAAGATAAGCTTCAAGAGACCTCTGCCATTCCAACCACACAGGAGACAATGAACTTGCTCACACACCGAGCACATTGCTACTACAACCGGCATCTGAGAAAGCCAGCCTACATCTATAATCAAGGAATGCGTACAAAGTCTTCACCAATGAAAGCACGAAAAGCCAAATTAGGCTACAATAAACTATAAACATTAAAGTCGCATCCTTAAGAGGGAAAAAAGGAAATTTAAAAAAAAGTAAAATCAAAAATAAATTTATAATAATTAGAAGAAATAGTCTACCCAAATGAGAAGGAACTAGAACAATGATTCTGTTACGATGACAAAACAGTGTTCTATAACACCCACAGAAGATCACACCAGCTCTCCAGCAATGGATCCAAAACAAAATGAAGTCTTTGAAATACCAGATGAAGAATTCAAAAGGTTAATTATTAAGCTACTCAAGGAGTTATCAGAGAAATGTGAAAACCAACCTAAAGAAATTTTTAAAACAATTCAAGATATGAATGAAAAATTTTCTAAAAGGACAGACATTTTACAGATAAATCAATCAGAACTTCTGGAAATGAAAAACATATTTAGGGAATTACAAAATGCAGCAGAAAGTGTTAACAACAGACTAGAACAAGTAGAGGAAAGAATGTCAGAGCTCAAAGACAAGGCCTTCAAATTAACCCAATCAGATGAAAATAAAGACAAAAGACATGAATGAAGTCTCCAAGAAATACGGGACTTTGTAAAAAGGCCAGACCTAAGAATAATTGGTGTTCCTGAGGGAGAAGAGAAAGCAAAAAGTTTGGAAAATTTATTTGAAAGAAT